>NC_000005.10:24550244-24853275 GCF_000001405.40 Homo sapiens
AGTTTTGACATGCATATTTTTCAGTATAATTCTTCTTCAATACAAAGTTACCATCTTTCATGTCTTTCCACTTTCCATTTGACCCCACCACCTTCACCCACCATCAACATCCAGGCTTATACATCTGGCTATAAATCTAAAAAAAAATGATGTATTCCACCACAATGGAATGTAAAGAGAACTACATAGAATAAGAAAACAAAACAAGGAAATACTAGGATTCCATAAATGTCAATATTTTTCCAAATTTATATCAGATATTTTTTACTTTAAGATATAAAATTAAAATGAACTGTAATTCATTCAGCTGAAATCTTCTCTATCTTTTTCTCCCTTTCTTAGATCTTTATACAACCTCCATCCTGAGGCTGGTGTGCATCTTTTTCATTCATATTTTATATTTTTACAATTTGGGTAAGAATACTTGTCCTTAACAGAATGCATCATTTCCATCCTCCCCACAAATCAGTCCTTCTCATTTTACTAACCTGCATGATAATCAAGCCAATTTTTCAAAATAAAAACCTAAGAGTCACTGAGTTTTTCTCCAACTTTACTCATTTATTCCATAAGAAAATCCCTTCTGACTTCTAATGTATCTCCAATTCCTTCTCACTGCCTCTGCTGTTCCCATTCCAACACAAATCGTCCTAAGCCATCACCTCAGCTCTCATTTAGTCCCTTAGCTTCTTTTTCGGTCATTCTATGGCTACTCTCTACCCAGTAGTGAGAATGATGATTTTTAAATGCATTGGCACTCCTCTGCTCAAAACCCACCAATGGCTTCCCATCACATTACAATACAATCTAAACCCCTTAGCCCAATTTACAACATCCATATGATGTAAGCTCCTGCCTGTCACTTTGGCCTCATCCTTTTCCATTCTTAAGCCATATAAGCCTAAACTGGCCTTTCTGTTTCTTAAATATGCTACACTTATTTCTACCTCAGCCTTTTGCATTTACTATTCCATGGAATGAGACTCACTCCCTCACTTATAATTTTATAGACTATTCAGCATTCCTCTTCAGTATGTTTATATTTTATTATTCCCTCTTGTTTCACTTGCTCTGACATATTCTTTTCAATTCGACACAGATACTTTATATATTCTGATTTAACAATTGGGTAATATATTACTACAAATATCTTCTTCAAGTTTGAGGTATTTTTTTAACATTGGTAACAGTTCATTTTGTACTAGAGAAATGTTTAATTTTAATATAGTCAAATTTATCAAGCATTCATTTTATGGTTACTCCTCTTTGTATCTTACTCAAAAATTATTTTTCTAAGCCAGTGTCATCAATATGGTCTCACAGTCTCTTCACTTTTATATTTTTAAAGCTTTTCTTTTGAAATTTCATTCACTTTCACCACGGAGATTTGCGTTTGTGTGAACATGTGTGTGGTGTGAGCAACAGATCTATATTTAAATAAGAATTCTCTAGAGATATTCATTTAGTCATTGATTTTTAATTCCAATTTTGTAATGGAAATATGTCTGGTATGCCCATCATCTGCTTTAGAACCTTCTATCTGTTCCATTTATCTATTGGCACCAGTATTACACTAACAACATACTCTTAGTTTCTGAAGCTTTACAACTATTACTGATATCTATCCAAATAAACATACTTCCTTATCCATCTTTTAGAAAAATCATCTTAGGGTTCTTGGTCTTTATGACATGGATTTTTATTTATTTATTTTCCATTTTTGACATGGATTTTCTACATGGATTTTTAACATCAGTATGTTATCTTCTATTAAAAACAAAGCAAAACAATAAACAAGAACAAAGTATTCTTGCAAAATATTTTATTGGGATTGCAATGAATTTACATGAAACATATAAGTGCTTCTTGGTCTCAAATATACATATATCTCCATTTATTTAGGACATCTTAATGTCTTTCACTACAATTTTACCTTTTTGTTTGGATATGTAGCTGACTTTTGCCATATGAATTTGTGGGACTCTGTTAGCTTTCTAGAGATATTGTGCTATTATGAGTGAGATTTCTTAACATATTCTTTTTATGGGAATAATCACTTCTAGTGTGCAAAACTATTATGTATTCTAGTAAATTGAAGAAAGGTCATTATACATGCATATTAACTTCAATATAATAATTATAATCAATATAATAAATAAGTTTTCATTAAATGCCTTTGTATAATTTATAATTTTCTTGTGAGTTTTTCCTATAATCTGATAGAAATAGCTCACTACAATATGTTGTTAGTAATTTTTTGTCTATTATCCTATTGCTAATCTTCTTTTTCTGTTAATGTTTGATTGGTGCATCATTTTCCATTCATTAATTTCGAACTTTGTCAATGCAGATTTCCTTGTTAATATAGGCAATAATAGGTTGACTCTATAATACATAGAACTGATATTAGTTCTATTTCTCCACCCCTCAATGATTAATTTTCCTTTAAATTCAATATTTTTGTCACCACTATTATTTCCTTCTTTCCTCATAGCTACTAATTGTCTAAATTCTTATTTTTCTGTGCTCCCTTTTATTTTTTTAACTGAATCACAAATTCTTCCATAACTTCTTAAATTTCCTCATCAATCTCCTGAGGATAAATGGGTTTCATCTTGTTGGAGATAAGATAAATCTCCCAGAGCCTTCTGACAGATTCCAAAAGGGACTGTTTGTGATTCAAACTTTGTTTAGAGCTGTCATCCTGTAATATTTCTTCACCAGCATCTTTGGCCTCTCCAATCTCCCATGTTTTCCTCTTTTTTTGTGTTTATTCTTGGATTTTAATATGACAACAAAATGCTGGATGTACATGGACTCTCTTGTTGGGCAAGACAGACAAGACCGAATATTATTTTTTTGGAGAATATTGAACCGACCATTTCATTAACTTCTTCTTCTTAATATTGCTATCAAGAAATATGTAGTCCTTCTGATCTCTGATCTTTGTATAAGAGCCACGGATTTATTTCTTTCAGAAGCTTGTAGAGAAGCTTTTGTTTGTCCATATTCCTGAAACTTTCTGGTATTGTTCCTTGGTGTGTGTATGTATTTATCAAAATTGCAGAAATGCTCAACAGGCCCTTTCAGTCTGCAGTCGCATGCCATTCTCTTCTGGGACAGTCTATAAATTGTTCATTGTCCCTCTGCTCCATTTTTCTTGCTCAGTCATTTTGGAATTCCTGTTTATTAGATATTCATCCTCCTGGCTTTTCCCTTTAATTTCACTGTCCCTGACTCCTACTTTCCATCTCTTTGTCTTCTTGCTTTACTTCGTAGAGCATTTTCCTGTTATTCTCCAAGCCCTCTATTGAAATTTTTATGATTTGTACAAAATTTTAATTTCCAAAGACAATTTTTATTCTATGTGAATTCATGTTTTGTATTATATATGTAGCATCTAATGTTTTCCACGGGTGGCTACAATGATACCTTCCACCCATATCTTCTTTCAGTAACTTGCCATTCCATAATCAGGAGGAAAAAGTCTATACCCCTCCTATTGAATCCCCATCAAGATGTGGAACCTAATTCCTCTTCCCTTGAATATTTTGTAATGGAGAGAACGTAAGTAGCTAAGGTGATACTGCATCATTTTTGAGGTTGGGTGGGGCAAGGTGAAGAAAGATGCCTCTGCCTTTGGAACTTGAACACTTGTACTACCACTCCCTGAGTTACCATGGACGCTATCCAGTTGTCTGGCTGCTACCAGAATTTCAGGAGCTCCCACTGGGCTGTGCAGAAACCACATGGGAAAGCCATTGGACCACATAAGGACAGAGTGAGAGTGAGAGCAGGCGTGAAAGAGCAAGACACAGAGAGAGAGAGAGAGAGGAGAGACAGAGAGAGAGAGAAGGGGAGGTGGGCGGGGGGGGGAGAGAGAGAGACATTCAATCAGCCCTCAGGAACTCTAGCCCCTCACCTACCATTTGACTGCAACTTCGTAAGTAACTCTAAGTAAAGAAACACCCAGCCAAATCCTTTCCAAGGTCCTGAAACCCAGGAATCATGGCAGATAAAATTATTGTTGTTGTGCTACATTATTAAATTTTGCAATGTTAGGCAGCAATGGCTAATTAGAAATGTAATTTATTATTATTTTATGAGTATAATGTATATAAAATTACATTGCATAATATCTTACATGCCTGTGAAACTTGGTGCTTCCTTTGAGATTTTATTTTCTCTGCATATTCTCTAACTTTTCAAGTTGTTCTTTCTCCCTATTCGTGTGTGTGTGTGTGTGTGTGTGTGTGTGTGTGTGTGTGTGTGTGTGCACGTGCATGATTTTTCTTGATGGCTTTCCTCAAATGTCTTGACTGATAATTCAACTAGTTATATATCCTATGATCCTAATATTTTTTTCTCAGAAAATTTTAGAAACTCTGTCCTTTTCTTCTAGTATCCAATATTGCTGTTGGAAAGTCTAGTCAAATCTGATTTTCATTTAATTATGGTAAAAAAGAGAAAGACTATTCTGAGAATGTGTAAAAGATCTTATCCTTGTGGTTTTAAAATCTCATAATAATAATTATAGAAATTGCACTTTTCCTTTTATGTGGTAATATATCATCAAGTACCTTTAATCTGACCATTAATGTTTTGGAAACATTATTGTCCAACATTATGTCTTTGAAAAATATTATGTAAATTAATATTTTATCTTTGCATTTTCTAATCTTTATTTGCTTCTTGCTCTCTCTTTACATTTTATATTACAGATTTATTAGACCTCAATTAATCCCTATTTTTCCCAGAACCTCCTTTAACATTTTCTTTGATTATTTATTTTTGGAGTATAATTTTTGCTTGCTTCAAATAACTCTTTTTTATAAGAATGTACTGTACTTTTTCTAGTCCCTTGAAAGATATGATTTAATTTTTCTAATGTTCTTTACTCTTCTCTGACTTATTTCTTGGTTCCCCAGAGAGTGATGCTCTATTTACTAAATGAGGTTTTTTTGTGCCACTGGATTTCCTAAAGTATCAGTGACATTTTATTATTCTTTTCTAATTTTGCAAAAGTTTCATTAGAGGCTTATGTGACTTTTCTCTTTCCTTACAAGCCTGACCATTAAATGAACACAAAGACTGCAAGCTATACATATAGGACTGTCAAGCAGTTCCCAAGCAGTAGCATGGTAGCAGCTGCCAGTCTGGTTTATCACACTTCCATAGATGTGGCCACTAAAGACACAATGAGCTCAAACAGATGTAGACATTAATTACTCTGTCGGCAGAGCAGGCAGCATAAGTTTCATGCTAGTATCAGTTTCTCTTGCCCCCTCGTTCATGGGGGTGATGTGGCATCACAACTCACTGATCATATAGTGGGTCAGTATCACAGCGGAAAGACACTGAGCCCAGGAAACCGTCAAGAGAACCTGTAGCTTAATCTATTTACCTGGAATGTATGCAAACTTCATCAGAAATGAGAGAGAGAGATTATCATCTATCCTCAAATATCACTTGGGAGTGAGCTATTTTATTATTCTGAAATATAAATTAATCTGAGTGAATTAGCTTTCAATCTCTAGAAGTGAAAAAAAGTGAGAAATCTATAAGCAACTGTCTTCTAGCAAGGTTAACATACGTCTATTGGGATTGGAGAATTCTAATACAAACAGCACATGAAAAAAACATGAAGACAATGAGCTGCCATCTTTACTATACCTCAAAGATAATAAGCTTGATGCTAGGTAGTGATATCCAATTTGGAAACCACAATCACTTCTAGGAGAAACCTTATTGGATGTTTTGCTTATGTTATTAGCAGAGGTGGGTGTAAAGGCAAGAGGAGAAGCCAATCAATATAACTTATTGTTGAGAAGAAACTTAAAACAAAAATAATGCAAATTTAAGGTAAAAATTAAACCCACTTCTATCTCAGCTTTCTTCTACATTACTAATCATTAGTGTTTATGTCTGCTCTCGTAGTTAGTATAGCCATTATGGAAACCCAATCCACTTTTAATTTATAAGTGTTATTGATTTGATGTATCATCAGGTTGTTCCTTGTGCTTCTAATCTATACTTAATTCATTTTTTCTTTAGCTAGGAAAGCAAATAAGAGTGGGCTACAATGTTGAAGGAAGCTTAACTTTAAAAAACATGCAATTTTACTGATTCAAAATGAATTGTAGTCTCTAATTGCTTTAAGAATAATTGTGTTTGATTTATATTAATAAATAAAATGTAACTGTGAAGATTGTGTTAATTTATATATTTTCTGTAGAATCTCAAAATTCCAAAAATATTTTAAACATTTTTTACCAGTTATTTTATATGATTAGCTCTGCAAGCCTCCTTTAATAATATTTAATTAAAATCAGTTATAATGAGCTCCATCCTTACTAAAAAATACCCTAAAAGTGTTACTACTACTAAAAATTAAACATCTTTTTTGGTTAAACTAACCATTAAATAGTTATTGTTTGGATGATTCTTAAAAACTTAATGACTAGAGAATTATAAGAAACAGAATTAAAATATTTACACAATTTAATAAAATATTTAATATAGCTGTATTAAAAAATCAGCCCATTTGGTATGCCTTTCATTCTATATATAATAAAGTTAATTGAGCATAATTTATTCTTCATAATTCTGTGATATTATTACACATTCAATTGGTTTCTAGAGATGTACACAAAAAGTATTTCTATATATATTCCCAATTACTTCAAATTTTTTAAACCAAATAAAATTTAATCTGAAGTTTTTTTCATATTTTTCTTTAAAAAAGTACAGAAAGAAAACATATTGGAAGGTATTCTTTTCAACTTGCCTAGACAAACTCATTTGATGTGCTTAAAGTCTCTAAAAAATATTTGTGTGTATTGTAGTGGTCATGTGGGAGGGGGGTGGAATGATGGTGAATGGCTTTCTGTTAGTACTATTAGTATATTCTGTAACTTTAAACAAAGATCAGAATAGAATTATTAACATCAGTTTTTTTTAATTACTTACTATAATTTAGATTATTTCTATCACTGATACCTTCCAGATAATTTTTTAATTTGAAATTTTCTGGGTTTTTTTGTAATACTTGTATTTTACTTTTGTTGCCAACTAAAAAAGGTGTGATTTTTTTCTTTCTACCAATTTAATGTCCCTAATTTACAGAATCATTATTATTTCCCATTATGTAATTTTCAACTTACATCCATTTCATTTTTAGTAAAACAGAACCAATTGCTGACTGAAAAAAAACTCAATACATTTACATATAATTTCATGCTTAATTTCATTTGTGATCCTCAGCCCCCTTCACATAACAATAAAGATAACACCATTAAAATTCCACAACTTAATCTCATTTTTTAGCTAAGCTGTTTGCTTGCATCCTTTAGTCTTGTCAAAGGAAAAGAAAATGAGATGAATTCACGATGCTTATTTCTAGTCAGTTTATAAAAGAAAAAAAATAATAAAAGCCTGAGGTTACCAGTAAGCATCTGTGTCTAATATAAGAGTAAATAACTACTTCGGCTTCTGCAGCAACTGATTGTATTACGATGTTCCAATAAAATCCTCCCTGCTGAATCTAACAATTACTTAAAAATTAGTATAGTCACTAAAGAAAATAAGATGAATGGAATGGATTAAAGAGGCAACTAATGATGCATAGCAGTTTTCTCAAGCAAGAACCAAATTTAATTGTTTTTAATCCCTTTGAGAAAGCATTACAGCAGTTTTATATTTGGCTTAAAACTTTCAACCACCCCCAGAATTCAAATTTTTAGAAACAAGAGGCAAAGTATGAAAATAAAATAATTTTTTGACTATTAGAATTCCAAGTGATATTAAGTAAAATAAACAGGAAAAAGGGGAAAAAGACAAAATATATTTTGAGAATGTAGAATAATAAGTACAAGGTTAACCACAGATCACTTAAGTGTTGGAAGTCTTAAATCCTCTGTAGGACATCCTGTAAATAATGTTGAGAATTATTTGTGTTTGGGGTCAAATTTCTGTAATGGAGGCTGTTTAATGCTGTGTTAGAGCATTTTATCATTTCAGAATATTTTGTTATATAGAAATTATATCTTTGTTTTAATAGCTCATTATTATAAACTATGACCAGGATTCTGAATTTTCCATGACATTCACAATTTCAAATATTTCCCCAGACTATAATTTGGGTTTAGCAAGCAATGACACTATGGCAAAGGAATTACAATAAATTAAATAATAGTAACTATTCAAATGAAAATCTTTTTTAAAAATTGTAGTCTATATTTAAAATACATTTATTTAACAATCAAAATGTATTTTAAATAAGTAAAAATAATTTTAGATGGCCATACTTTATATAGAATACTGCATTCAACTTCCAAAGGATGTAAGTATATACTTGAAGATATAATAAAATACACATCAAGGAGATGAATCTAATCAAGGAAAAAAGTCAGTCAAGAAATGAAGATATCTGCATATAAGTCAAAAGAGAAAACGAAACAGAGAAACATTTTTAAATATTGTAAGATACATCTATATTATTACCATTTATATCAGTTTGGTTCAAGCAACGTTTACAAAGCTTGTGCAATATGTTAGAATCAGGACGTTTAATCATAAAGTCTTAGTTTTTGCTTTGCTGTGGCCTGCCAATATAAACTTCAACATATATTAGTTATTCAAATATTCCATTTCAAGATCCAGATTTTTCTCTCATTAAATTAGTTCTATCTCATTCAGCATTCCCCTTTCATTTTCAATTATTTTACAGATTTTAGAAATCTCATCTCTTAAAAGCAGTTGCTTGGGGTGATGTCATGGGGAGGTCTGTCTAGTTTGAATTATTTGTTTTAACTTGTTTTTCTAGTAGAATAATTCTTCTAATAAAAATAGACATTGGATCCCTTATTTTGTTTTATTATTGTACACAAATATGCTGTCAGGAAATAGGTATTATAGGAATTATTTTTGTTTGTTTATTATAAATAAATTACTAAATAAAATAGGCTGTTAACATTTTACTCCTTGTGCAAATCATTTCCATAAATCTGTTTTAGTCAAGTTGTATCAGGCAGCCAATTTTAGCAATAAATAAGCCCTTGTTGGAATTTACTGCTTGGTTCTGACATTGTTCAGCTACAAATATGTGTAAACAAATGTATATCTGGGCACATAAGAGAAACATTCACAATAAATTATCTTTTTAATCCAACTGAATGCATAGCTACAATATTCATAAATTTATCTTAGATTAATATCCAATCAACAACACTTCCTTCAAACATTTCACTATTGAACTGATTCACACTGCAGTACTTTATGCTGAGATCTCTGTATATGGGAAGAGAAAATTGAAAATGTTTTTGGTCAACTGAAAACATGGGAAAAAAGAGAAAAATAGGTTTGTTCTGATATTGTGAAATTGTGGTTAAAATATTACCACAACTGATGAGTCTGCATGATAATGAAACAGGTGACAACAATAATTCATAAGTTTTTAATTATGGGACTGATTGAAAATGATGCTTTGAAAGAAAAGGCCAAGTTTCATACAAAGTAAATGTTAAAGTCTAGTTCAAAATTACTATCAAAAATGCGAAGTGAACATTTTCATTTGGAATCATTGAACTGATTAAAATGCAAATACCCCTATCAGTTTCTTTATTTTATGAGCCAGATTTGGGTTGCTATATGGCTTTTGGCCAGAAGACAAATGAAATGTGGTCATACTTTCTGTGTTTTAAAGTGTGACTTTATACTATTTTGCTTTCATATCACTGCTCTTAAATAACTTACCAGTTTTCATTATTTTGTCTCCAAATTTGTGAACACCTGACTATTTGTGTCTTTCCTTTAACTTTTTAATTTAACATGTTGGCTGATTTCACTTCAGTAATCCACGATCCCAGATGCTCAACTTAAAGTGAGATTTCTTCTTTTTTATTCTCCAGATTAAGTTTAAATAAGATGATAATGTTTCATTTGGAAATATTTGCAATTGTGTGTGTGTGTGTGTGTGTGTGTGTGTGTGTGTGTGTGTGTGTGTGTGTTTCAACATTCTACACATTTCCTCTGGCTTGCATGCTTCCTGCATATTAAACAGATCTGTAGGGAAATATGTTGGGAAAGAAGCCCAACCACCAACCCACCAAGGCACATGGCCAACATGTAATTACAACTTACACTGACTTCCACTTCTTACTATTTCCTTTAGATTTTTCTTTTCATTTATATAATTAAAACTGCATTGAATTAAATATGCTTTTTGATAGAAACTATTGTGTTTTTTCATTGAGGTGTGCCCTAAGTTTGAATAATGCTGGGCATTTGAATAAAACTTGATAGATTTTAAAGGATTTGCATATTTATTACCTAATTTTGATTCTCAAATTACAGCTTGTATAAATAGATACTATTATTTTATTTAAAACTATAAAAACTGAGACTGTAGGAGATTATGTCATGTTTTCAAGGAATCTTGGCTGCTAATCTATGCTGGAGTTGAAACTCCAGGGTTCTTTTCTCTATAAATGGTTGTCAGTGTATTTTTAGACCAAAGCAACTTCAGCCTTTAAAATGTATTGCTGATAGATAGATGTATTCAATCAGAAACCTGTCCACAAAAATAAAATAAAGTTGTTACTCTGTGGTGTTTTACATATATTTACTAATATGCCTTTTTTTACTATAGTGAAATAATCCAAATTTCCTGATTATATAATACTAGACTTGAATTCTAGCTATGTAATTTATTAGCTAAATTGATAGATATTATAGGCCACTTCCCTAAGCTTCAGTTTCCTCTTGTTAAAATAGGAATGACAATCGTTGTCTTGCAATAGTGTTGAGTAGATTAGAAATTCAGTATTTAAAGTGCTTAGCAATAGCTGGCACACACTATGCTCTCAATAAGCGGTAACCAGTATTAAATTAATTATTTTATGTTTAGAAGTACTACAAATATTTTATTTTTAAAAACAAAGTGCTAATATTATGTCAACATATGTGTAGTAAAAATGAGTGGAACAGAATATGTTTGGGGTTAAAAAGCGTAATCTCTGGAGGACTAACAAAAATTTCATATCCTATACTAGTCATTGCAAATATATGTATTTGGTATTAATTTGAGTTTATTTCATAATCAAGACAAATAAAATTAAAAATAATTATATGAGAAAATTGTGAGGATACACTTCAGTGAGAAGAGGCAAAAGACAATACTGTATCAGTTTCTAGCAATGTTACAGTAAATTTACTCTGAACTTAATTTAAGGGTAATTTGCCTGGCAATTAGCTCAAAGTGAGCCATCGTTCGCGACCCTACTGCATTTTTCAGTTCCCCTTTCCCTCCCTGTAGTAATTCTACAAGGCATATACCAACTTACAGTCATCCCTTCTCTCCCACAATTAGGTTAAAATGAAAGAATTAGAACAAAAGCTATAAAGTGTCTCAAAACTACCCACGTTAAGATTAAATGCAGATTATTTGGAATAATGGAAAATTAAAGCAAAGTAAAACCACAGCATAAGACAACCAACAGTAAGATCAGTTCATCTCTAGGAAATCCTGAAGAAGCTCAAGCTTGGAGCAACAAAACATAATTTTGTAAATAAACCGCAGGACACTGATCACAGTAATTAATTAAAGATTGGGATTCAGAACATTAAGAGAGGCCAGGCTTATGTTTCTCTTCCCACTACGAACCATGCACAGAAACTTAAAAAATAAAAACAAAAACAAACAAAAAACATATGTGATCAAGAATTTAGTCAAATTTGATTGGAGTCTTTCTTGGTAGGCCCAATAAATGGTTTGTTGTTTCTAATTTGCTGGATGCATATAATAAAATACTGTGCAACAGTTAGATGCAATAATATAGATGTAGAAGTTATGACATTATAAATCTTTAATATATATATTGTTAAGAAAAATGAGAAAATAGAAAAAATGAGAAACAATGAAACTACATTCATGTAAATTTAAAAATACACTGCTAAAACTATATTCACAATTTCTGTCACCATGCCATGTTCAAATTATACATCCATAATTTAAAACATTCCTCTTAAAGAGATTTAAACAGACTTAAATATGTCAAGAAGTATTATCTCCCCCTCCTGTACTTATGAGTGTATTTTTTCCTTCTTTTATTTTTATCAGCACTGTTGATATAGAATTACAGAGTCTAATGGTGTCTCAAATTTAATTTCACTCAACTACTCTGTTTTTAGTTTTGATCAAACTGGAAACCAAAGAAATTAAATGATTTTCCTATAATCATACTGATATTTAGAGGGAGAGCATAAATTCAACTTGTCTTATGATATACCCTACGGAAAAAAAAATCTACAAGACTATTTGACTGTATTTTATCTTATTATTTCACTATAAGCCACTGTAAAACTTGATTGTCTATTTATTCTACAAAAATTTCTGTAGTTAATATCATATGTGATGTAGAAAGACAAAAAATATTTCCCTGTAAGTTAAACAGAGAGAGAACATCTATTCTCACTCCTTCCACGTAACCTAACACTAGAGATCCTAACCACTGGGATTAGTAAATAGAAATACAATCACAGGTGTGCTAATTGGAGATGGAAAAAAATACCTTTTTTTAAAAAAACTTTGAAACACTTACAAACTTATAGAAAGGTAAAACTAATGTATAAATAACTTATTTTTTCCTCAACCATTTGACAGCAAGTTGTCAACTTGATGAATGATCATTGCTGAGCAATTCAGTTGGCATTTCTTACAAAAGGACATTCTTACCCGATCTCAAATCCTCTATGAGCATTGCTAATGTAATATTAATTTGTTATCATAATCCAATTACCATATTCCATTTAAACTTCACCAGTTGTTCCAATAATATCTTGTGTGGTACAAATAACCACCTCAAATCATGTGCTACATTTAGTTGTCTTGACTTTCAGCATCTTTGAGGCTGGAAGAGTAACAGTCCTTCCTAAATTTGAAGATTTAGGTGACTGCAATAATTACAGATGAGTTGTACTGTTGTATCTACCTCAATTTAGGTTTGATGTTTCCTCATGTTTATATTTGGGTTAGGCATTTACAGCAGGATTATCACAGAAACGGTGCTATGTTCTTTCTGTATCCTGTTGACAGGTGCGTTTCCACTTACGCCTTTACAGACAGTGATATTCAATTTGGTTGACTAAGTCCTCCACTAGAAAGATTTACATTTTCCCTTCATAATTAATACATCTTTTATAGAAGCTTAAAAAAAAAAAACTATGTAAACAGCCGGGCGCGGTGGCTCACGCCTGTAATCCCAGCACTTTGGGAGGTCGAGGTGGGCGGATCACGAGGTCAGGAGATGGAGACCATCCTGTAACACGGTGAAACCCCGTCTCTACTAAAAATACAAAAAAAAAAAAAAAAAAAATTAGCCGGCGTGGTGGCCGGCAGGCGCCTGTGGTCCCAGCTACTCCGGAGGCTGAGGCAGGAGAAAGGCCTGAACCTGGGAGGCGGAGCTTGCAGTGAGCCGAGATCCTGCACTGCACTCCAGCCTGGGCGACAGAGCGAGACTCCGCCCCCTCCACCAAAAAAAAAAAAAAAAAAAAAAAAGAGAAAAAAACTATGTAAATATCCCACTCTTTATAAAATGTTCTAATCAATCAATTAATAAATTATATCTGTATAGAATAATGGTTTTCTATCTTCTCCAATGGGTTGTAACCCATCACTAATATTTATTTTTATGTTCAAATCATATTAATCTGCTTCTGAATACTTTAGACAGGTTCCATTTATTATTTGAGCACTTACTTGCTTTTCGGCCCAAGAAGGGTTGAGTTTATCTTGTACATACAGTGGACCACCTGTGAAATCATCTATATCTCAAAAGATCTCTGGTTCCTCTTAGTCAAAAATGATATTTAGAAACAAATATCTCTGTAATATGTGTATTCATTGCTATTGGGACACTGCTTTCCCCAGACCCTCTTCATTGGACACAACAAAGAAATATTTGTACACACACATACTATATGTAGATATATTTCTTTTTGTTGTTGTTGAGATAGCTCTTAATATAGGTTGTACCAAAATGTCGAATGCTTTATCTGGACCTACTTTTGTGAAGAAAAGTAGAGAATACTAATTGGCATATAGAAACATTACTGGTGGTGGCATTCATCCTTCTTACAGGGTCTACATGGTGTGTTTTCAGTTCAGTGAAGGCTGAATAATTAATCTTTACAAAGGAATCACTTCTATAATGAAGTCAAGAAGATTTTTCCTCTTCATAATGGTAGAGGTCAGATCCTGGCATGGCATTCTTGGGTTCCGTGCTGCTGATGGAGCTGAGACCTCTGCCCCTACAGGGGTTGTTAAAAGTGAGCAAGTCCCCCACGGCCCCCTCCAGGACATTTTTATATCAATCTGAATAAATACGTTTAAAACATGAATTCACATCAGTATTTCTAATTGCTACCCAATAGCACAAAAGTGATTCTAATTTTCTTCCTTTTCTTATTTGCAACTTTCTTCTATGAGAGAAAGAATACTTGTTACAATGATCCTATACGTATTAACTTATTAGATCAATCCTGCTGCATGTAACAAATCTCCCATGTCTTCCACCTCTCTCAGGATACTTCATCTAGTAATTCCTGCCCAGGTTTTGAAACCTCATGCTGGACCCTCCTGTGCAAGGCTGCCCTGCTCATTCTGCTCTCATCTGATCCTCTCACTGGGCCAGTCCATTGAGTATATGCCCACCATACCCTTTTCTGACTCTGAATGCCCTCACCAGTCCAAATCCCTGTACAGTAAATTTCCTTACCTCTCCTGACTCTCTACATCAGCTCCCATCTCTAAGAATGCCTCCTTTACCCTAATTTAGTTCTGAAACCTCATTCTATGCAATAGGGTCCTTTTCAACCTAGAAAGTGGATGTATAGGTTAATCTTCAATAGAACTGAATTGTTTAGGAAAGAAGAGAAGAAAAAGGGAGGAGGAAAGAAAGCGATGCAAAATTGTCTTTATTCAGACAACATGATGATGTGTGTACAAAATCCTAAGAAATCTATATTTTAAAAAACTTCTATAGTTGCTAAATAAATTAAGATCACAGTACACAGAGTCAAAATAAATACAAAATATAAATTTCTATGTACTAACATTACATTCTTGGAAACTGAACTCTAACATACCATGCCTTTTACAATAGCACAGAGAACATAAAACACTGATGATAAATGTAACAGGATAATATGTAAAATCTCTACACTAAAATCTGTACAAAATTGTTGAATGAAAGAAGTGCAAAATCAATGGAAAGATATAACATCTTCATAGATAAGAAGACTCAATGTTAAAATTTATTATGGACTAGATGTTTTTGACCCCCACCAAATTTAAATGTTAAAGCCCTAATTCCCAGAATAATTAGATTTGGAGATAGGGCCTCTAAGGAAGTAATTGAGGTTAAATGAGGTCCTAAGAGTGGGACCCTGATCCTATAAGATTAGTATCTTTATAACAAGACAGGGAGAACTCTCGCTCTCTGTCTCTATCTCTCTCTTTCACACACACACACACCCACACCCACACATACACCTTGGAAAGGACATGGGAGGACATAGCAAGAAGGCAACCATCTGCAAGTCAGGAAGACAGCATTCATCAAAAACAATCCTGGTGCACCTTGATCTGGAACTATTAGCCTCCAGAACAATGAGAAAATAAATTTCTCATTTAAGTGACTCAATCTATGGGATTTTGTTATGGCAGCCCAAGCAGACTAATACAAAGTACTAGTCTGTCCAACTTGGTTTACAGATCCAATAAGATTCAAATAACATCATAGTTTTTTGTTTTGTTTTGTTTTTGAGACAGAGTCTCACCCTCTTGCCCAGGCTGGAGTGGAGTGGTGCGATTTCAGCTCACTGCAATCTCTGTCTTTCGGGTTAAAGCCATTCTCATGCCTCAGCCTACCAAGCACCTGGGATTACAGACATGCACCACCACACCTGGCTAATTTTGTATTTTTAGTAGAGGCAGGATTTCACCATGTTGGCCAGGCTGATCTCGAACTCCTGACCTCAAGTGATCCACCTGTCTTGGCCTCCCAAAGTGCTGGGAGTACAGGAGTGAGCCACCACTCCCGGCCCCTAGCATGTTTTAAATATATTTTTGGTAAAGGTAAAATGTATGTGAAAATGCAAAAGATATAGAATTATTTTCAAAATACTTGGAGAATAAAACACAGTTGGTGCCTTACTTTTGAAGCTACAGTAATTAAGATAATGTGTTATTGGCCTAGCTATATATATAGAATAACCGAAGAGAATTGATCATTCATAATTAGACCCCAAAGTATATAGTCAGTCGACTTTTGTCCAAGGTATGAGAACATTTCAATGAGGACAGGAAAGTTGTTTTCACAAATTATGCTAGAACAACTGGTTCTCTATATGGTAAACAAACAAAAAAATCACCTATTTATATATTATTATGCTATATACAAAAATATATTTACGTTCTAATGAAAATCTAAAACTATGTATTTTCTAGAAGCCAATACAGAAGAATAACCTTATGATCTTAAGGTAATAAAGGATTTGTTAGACAGGACCCAAAAAGCGCTAACTATAAAAAAATAATAAAATGGACTGCACTAAAATTAAAACTTCTCCTCAATGTAAAGAAAATGAATGAGCAAGTCAGAGACTGGGGGTAAAATCATTTAGAATGCCTACATATTTGGTAAATATCTTATATCCAGAATATATAAACTCTTATAACACAATTATAAAATCCCAACTGCCCAATAAAATATTTGGGCAAACCTCAGAAACATCTTGAATAAACTGATATATACAAATAGCCATTAAGCCATTTTATTAAGCCATATTAAGGATGCTCAGCATCCTTAGTCATCAGAAAAATGCAAATAAAAAACTACATTACACTGCTATTATATACCTTTTAGAATGACTCATTGAAAGACTCTAACAACACCAATATTATCTAGGACACTGACTAATAGGAATTCTCATGTACTAATTGTGACAGTGTAAATTTTTACATATATCCACCTGAGAAAATGAGAATGTTCTCATTAAGTTAACACATCCCTAGGCCATGACCCAGAACTCCATTTCTACACATTTGGAAAAAAAAAAGAAACTGTATGTGCACAAAAGGACCCAAAATGCCCATTAACAGGAAACGAGATACACAAACTATGATATACTAATATTGTGGAAGAGCACTCACTCAGCAATAAACAGGAATGAACCACTGATTAAAATAATAGCATACAAGATCCTCAAAAAATACGCTGAGAAAAAGAAGCTGGATATGTAAGAGTGTATGCTCCAAAGGTCCATTTAAATAAAATTTTAAATGAAAGAATATTAATTCCTGTTGAATGAAATCAGAAAGGTGGTTGCCTATTGAAATAGGAAATGGACTGGGAAGACACAGAGGGAAATTTCAGGGTAATGAAAATGATTTGTATTTTCATGTAATTGCAAATGTATATGTATTTGTCAAAACTCATCAAAGTACACTCCATGTCAGTGTACTTTGCTATATGTAAATTATACTTCAAAAATGTAAAAAAGTACTTCTCATAAGGACATTTAGAGAGAAAATTTAAATAAGCAAATAAGTAGTATCCCTTCTTCCTATAACTATGTATGCATTTTTTCTTTCTTTTCCTTTTGTCAGCAGTGTTGATATAAAAATGTACACTTCAATGATGTCTCAAATTTAGTCTCACCCAAAAAATTCAATTTTTAATCATGATCAAAACAGGAATGCAAGAAATTAAATGATTTTCCCATAATTTTATAGAGAGTAGCAGAGGGTGAAACTGAGGGTTCATGATCTATTCTCCAGAAAAATATCCACAAGACTGTTTGCCTGAATTATTTTGAGTTTTTAATGTAAGTAGCTTCAAAACTTTAAGAGTCTTGTTATAAACAAAAAACATAGGATAGAAACCAGAGAGAAAATATTAATATTTTGGAAATACGACATCCATAAAGAAATATTGGGCATGGAGAACATATTCTTAATTTACATAAAAAGTAAAATTATTCAAAACTAAAGAATTTTAAGCAGGCAGCACAATTAAAAAAAGATCAAAGAAATGTAATAGACATTTCTCCAAAGAAGACATCCAAATGGCCAGTAAGTACATAAAAAGATACTCAATATCACCAGTCATTAGGGAAATGCAAATCAAACCACAATGAAACATCATTTCATACCCATAAGGATAGTTATTTCAACAACAAAAAACAGAAAACAAGTGTTGTCAAGAATCAGGTGAAATTGGAACCCTTGTGCATTGCTGGTGGGAATACAGAATGGTTCAACTGCTGTGGAAAACAATATGATACTTCACATAGGTAATTCACATAGAATTACCACATGATCCAGTAATTCCACTTTTGGGTATATACACAAGAGATTGAAAGCAGGAATTTGAGCAGATATTTGTATAGCAATGTTCATACCAGCATTATTAACTATAGCCAAAAGGTGGGAACAATCCAGATGTTCATCAACAGATGAATGGATAAAGAAAATATGGTATATACACAATACAACATGATTCAGACTAAAAGAAAGGATTTCTTGTCCAGGAGCGGTGGTTCACACTTGTAATCCCAGCACTTTGGGAGGCTAAGGTGGGTGGATCACGAGGTCAGGAGTTCAAAACTAGCCTGGCCAAGATAATGAAACCCTGTCTCAACTAAAAATTCAAAAATTAGCTGTCCGTGGTGGCAGGCACCTGTAATCCCAGCTACTCGGGAGGCTCAGGCAGGAGAATGGCATGAACACAAGAGGCGGAGCTTGCATTGAGCCGAGATCGCATCACTGCACTCCAGCCTGGGCAACAGAGCGAGACTCTGTCTCAAAAAAAAAAGAGAAAGGGTTCCTGAGACATGCTACAAAGTGAATAAATCTTGAAAACATATAATTCCACTTATATGAATTACTTAGAATAAGCAAATTTATAGAGACAGAAAATAGCATAGTGGTTACTATGGGTGAGGGAGATAAAGGGGAGTTATCGTTTAATTTGTATCATTTGAAATGATAAAAATATTCTAGATAGTAATGATGTTTGCACAATGCTGTAAATTAATAAACTGTACACTTAAAAATGGCTAAAAAGTACATATTATGCTGTGGTTGTGTATATTTTTTACAATAATAAAATAAATCATAGGAATTTTAGAAGCATATTGATTTAATAAACTTGATTTACAATGCCTTTTTCTACATATGCTAAAATAAATGCTACATATGTATGCATGTGAAAAACTCATTGAAATATTTTGAAAATAATTTTCATAAAAATAATGGGTTTTCCTCCAAATCAGTAATTTCCAAAATAATCTGTAAAAATTTATTTAAAAATTACTGCATACTTTTTCTTCAAAATAATTTATTTTTAAAATAAAATTTTAGCAGATAACATTTCAGATACATACTCTTTTTTCAAATCTTTTTCCTTATTGGGGAGATTCACTGTCATCAGTGTGAATCTTTATGTGAACAAATGTGTGCTTTTTTTTTTTTTATTGATGGAGTCTTGCTCTGTCGCCCAGGCTGGAGTGCAGTGGCGTGATCTTTGCTCACTGCAACTTCTGCCTCCTGCGTTCAAGAAATTCTGCTGTCTCAGCCTCCCGAGTTGCATGGGACGACAGGCGCGTGCCACGACGCCCGGCTAATTTTTTTGTATTTTTAGTAGAGACGGGGTTTCACCATATTGGACGGGCTGTTCTCGAACTCCTAACCTCAGGTGATCTGCCCGCCTCAGCCTCTCAAAGTCCTGGGATTACAGGCGTGAGCCACTGCGCCCGGCCAACAAGTGTGTGTTTTCTATGAGATTTGTTTTTGTCTGAAATTGGTCCAATTTTCTGTTAAATTGGGAATCACCCTCTTAGAGATATTAATTTGTAGAAACTTTTGCATACGATTTTAACACCAATAAAGTATTTCTATTCAACTTTGTTTTAACTGAAACAATAAGTTAAAGACAAGAAGAAACAGTAAGTCAAACAATAAGACAAAAATAATCATCTAGTTTGTGCATAGATTTACTAGCCTCAGTTCTGCCTTCAAGGATAGAGCGTTACTACAGTTGTACGAAATCCCTTTCAAGGATGCTTCACAGAGATGCCTAGTTCCGTTAGTGTCGGATAGAAGTGGAAGGTAAGGGCCTGGCCATTTCAGTTCAAAGAGGGACAATTCTGGTAGGATATTTAAGCTCTAGAGACCCCAGAAGGTGGGTGGAGGCTGTAGAGATTGCATCACTGCCCAACTGTTGACGTTATCAAATTCCTATCCACAGATGTTTATACGAAGAGCATTCCCGAATACATATTCTGATAGGCTATATCCTGCAACACCCATACTCAAAATGTACACTGCTTGTTACCTTACTGTAAAATATATATATGTGTATATATATATACTAGAGTAAAATGGCCTCTGCATTTCTATCTAATCAAATCTTTAAAACTGTCTGTATGAAATATAAAGAAAATGTCTGCTTATGATAGTTTTGTACTTCACATTTTTTATCTAATTTGCTTTGGAAGCTTTCAAATTTTACCTCATAGAAATAAGCTCGTTTTGAGAATGATTTGAAATATTTTTTGTTTTTTCAAAAAAAAAATTATGACCCGGCTAGACTCACTTCAGTGTGTAGTGTGAATGTACTACAACCTCTGGTTTTGAAGTCCTACTGGCTTATTACCTATTTTAATAAAGACTTGTTCCTGATGACGTGTTTTAAAATTTGGTCTGGATAAAGTAGAGGAATGGTGACCATCAGCCCATTCTTTCATTTAGAGGTTTCATATTCTTCACAATGGAATTTTCTGTCAGTGAAGAGCAAATTTAAGAGTTTTACAGAGAACCAATATTTTCTTTTCATGGAATCTCTCACAACCAGCATCTCAGTAATCTGAGGACTGTATACATGGGGTAAATATATTAATAATTCATATGCTTCAGTGTATTTTAATAGTTATGTTCACGATGAGCCTTGAAGATTGTAGAGATAAAGGGCAAAACATTTTTAAGAAGTTGGAAAAAATTTAAGAAAAAAGCAGGATGTGAGAAATAATAGGGACAACTTCAATTAAGCTAAGAAAAGACTGATTAATGCTACAAGCCACAGGGGTCAACAGTAAGAAAATGCCTCAGAGAAAGGAATAACTGAGGGGTTATGTGACAAGAAAATAAATTAATTTGAGTCAGATGCCAGGAAAGCATTATTACCCAGTCTGGAGTCAAGGTCAATGTAAGAACAACAAAGCAATTCAGAAGAAATTTTATATTGGCCATGAGAGCTAAATTTAAGACACTGACTAGAATAGAGCAGCAGGAAGGCAAAAAGTGGAGGAGATTTACTAAGCATTTATAATATGCTAGACAGAAAACCTACATAAGGTAGTCCATACATTATTACATTCAATTCTATAATAGCAATAGTTCTATGAAAAAAAATAATGCTATGTATCAATGAGCTGGCAAATCTTTAACAATTAGCTCTCTGGGAGCAGGAGTCCTGACTCGTAGTGTTTGCCAATTTCTGTGGTATAAATACTGCACCATACCCGATTTAAAACTACCCCCATGACCTCAGCTGGGCATGTAAAAATCCTAAAAAATTAACAATAGGCTCTTGCAAGTAAGCATGAGCCAGCTCCAGCACACCACACCATTGCTATGTATGTTTTACAAATGAAAACACTGCTACAAATAAAAAAAAAAAATCGACAGAAGGGTGGACTCAAATTTATGTAAAATTTTTCTGGTTTAAAATCCACGTTTTTACTAATCTACTATTCAGGAAACAAGCAAACAAACAAAACAAAACAAAATTTGTTGTCTAGATTTCTTTTGTGAAGTCTATATTATCTTGGAGCTCTGTCTGAAGAAGAAATCAAAATTAACCTGGAACTTACAAGGACCCGGGAAAGCCAAGGAGCAGAGCTAGAGAAGTGAAGTCCGCCATCTTCTGGGAATGCGGAATGACACCTTTGAACCATGCCTTTCAACTTCCAGGTAAAGAAGTAGCAATGCACAGAGAGAATTTCCCACTTCCTTTTTAAAACAGACTAAAGGCATTCGGCAGATCTAGAAGGAAAAATGCCAGCACCTTCTTTGAAGAAACCAAGAGATAGCCGGAAGCTATCTGCATGCTGTAAATTTTAAAATATCAGGAGAAAAAGACACGGGGAGAGGATTTCTGGACCTGAGGATCTTAAAAAAGGAAAAGCTGACAGAATTCAGTTTGACAAAACAATTAATATTAAATGCCCCTCCCCCCAAAAAAATCAACACTATCTTATTTAGAAAAAAGAGAAAGGTTATATTGGCTGATGGCAGGGGCATAGTGGATCAGTTCTGGCAGAAAAATAGCAAGGTAAAATGAATCAAAGAGTAGAATCGTATTTTCAGGAAGCCATGTATGTATGAGACTAAAAGAGGAGAAAATTTACAGTATAAGTAGTCTTAGAGCCACCAATTTCAGCTGACAATAAAGAAGAAAGCAAGCACACATAAATCTTGTGTCTTTCTCACACCATATTCACATAGACAGAGAATTCCTCATTCTTGCCTGTGCCTCACATATGATCTGTAAAAAACTGGGACAGAAAAGCTTTACTTTATTCAGTCATAAGGACCTGGTCAGAATCTGTATAATTGTACTTAGAAAAAGAAAAAAAAAAAAAAAAAAAAAGGAGAAGAAGAGAAGACAGAACAAAAAGACGTACACAAAAAATAAAAAATAAAGATCACCAGAAAATAATGATAAAACAAATATAAATTGATTTCCAAAAGTAACAAGAACATGTGCTTTTATCTAACAAGACTCCAAATATTGATATGAGTTCATAGAAGATAGTGCAATAAAATAAAAGATACTGCAATACAATGAAAAATAAATATATAAATAGAGCTCGGGAAAAAATTTGAAGAGTTAAAAAATAGTGACAGAAATAAAGACATGATTGTAAACAGTTAAAAAGACAGTAGAAATTGTTGTAAACATAGTAAATGAAAGAGAATACAAGACGAAGAAATCAAGCAAAGGGAATTATAAAAATAGAGTAAAAAGATTTAGAGAGAAAAATGAAGCAATGAAGGGAGTTGTTTCCAAGAGTACCAGAATAATGAGGAAAGAAAGTTTAAAGACAAAAGCAGGCCGGGCGCGGTGGCTCACGTCTGTAATCCCAGCACTTTGGGAGGCCGAGGCAGGCAGATCACGAGGTCAGGAGATTGAGACCATCCTGGCTAACACGGTGAAACCCCGACTCTACTAAAAATACAGAAAATTAGCCGAGCGTGGTGGCGGGCACCTGTAGTCCCAGCTACTCCGGAGGCTGAGGCAGGAGAATGGCGTGAACCCGGGAGGCGGAGCTTGCAGTGAGCGGAGATCGCGCCACTGCAGTCCAGCCTGGGCGACAGAGCGAGACTCCATCTCAAAAAAAAAAAAAAAGAAAGAAACAGCCATTCATATAACAACACAGTTCAATTTTCAATTATCATAATATATGTATTTATATCTTGTATATATTCATATATTTACTTAATTTTTATCGCATTAAATATTTATAACCATTTTCATATTATATATATTTATATTTACATATATTTCATATTATATAAAAAATATATATATTTTTGAGACGGATTCTCTCTCTGTCGCCCAGGCTGGAGTGCAGTGGCGCGATCTCCGCTCACTGCAAGCTCTGCCTCCCGGGTTCACGCCATTCTCCTGCCTCAACCTCCCGAGTAGCTGGGACTACAGGCGCCTGCCACCACACCCGGCTAATTTTTTCGTATTTTTAGTAGAAACAGGGTTTCACCATGTTAGCCAGAATGGTCTCGATCTCCTGACCTCGTGATCCGCCCGCCTCGGCCTCTCCAAATTGCTGGGATTACAGGCGTGAGCCACTGCGCCCGGCCTATCATAGTATATTAACTTGAGTAATTGCATGCTAGCTTTGCAGTCCTCAAGCCACTACATAAATAACAGTGATTATGATTAGTGACCAAATATGTCACTTTTTTCAAAATCCATCAGTGATTGATCACTGCGTATCTATTATTCAATTCATTTACAGATACTTAAATGTGTAGTTGCATTGTCTGGTTGGTTCTCAGTGATAAACTCGCATGACATTTTACAAAAATGGATAGTTGGAAGAGGATATTGGCCAAAATAGATGAAAGTGTAGCAAACCAAATATGACATTCTTGCAAGTAAAATTCGAATCAAACACAAGTGCAGCTGTAGAACAAATTACAACCACCACGGGAATATTGACGGTGTCACTACTTGAGATCTGATGCCACTCCAGATCTGATGCCAACTGAACAGTGAACAAGATATTGACATATTGAATAATGTGGATGTAAAGAAAAGAATGAAATGTCACAAAGGAAGTAACACCAGAACAAAATATCCTATTGAAGGAACTTCAGAGATGTTTGACAACAAACTCAGAAAGGAGTATGACAATTAACTTCCGAACTAACATAACAAAATAAAGACTTAGAGTTAATGGGCAAATACTAAGATATTATTTTTTAAATTTAATTAGTTCAAAAGATGATAGGAAAAAAAAACCAGAGAACAAAACTAGACGGTACAAATAGAAAACAAATAGATTATAAATTCAAACCTAACCCATGAAAGATACCTTAAATGTAAATAGTACAAATACCTCAATATGTTATTTAGAAATGAAGTTAATCACTATTACACAAGTCTGTTTTCAGGTAAATTTTTCATGGTCACTCAAACGGATCTGAGACAAGGAGGTTAATTTCACATTCAAAATGTCTCCTGCTGGTCCAGCACCAGTACCATGGCTCATGCCTGTAATCCCACCACTTTGAGAGGCTGAGGCAGGCAGATCACCTGAGGTCAGGAGCTCCAGACCAGCTTGGCCAACATGGCAAAAACCCCTCTCTCCTAAAAATATAAAAATTACCCAGGCATGGTGGCATACACCTGTAATCTTAGCTACTCAGGAGGCTGAGGCATGAGAATCGCTTGAACCCGGGAGGCAGAGGTTGCAGCGAGCTGTGGTCACGCCACTGCACTCCAGCCTGGGCAACAACAAAAACAACAAAAAAAAAAAAAAAAAAGGAAAAAAAAGAAAAGTCTCCTGCATCCTCAGTCTGTAATTTTAGAGTAGTTTATTGTTTCCATCTTTTACGAATTACGTTAAGATACTTTACCTAAAAATCAACTTAATGCTTAATGAACACTTGGCTCTATTATATTGCTTTAAAATGTTTGGGTTTTTGTTAAAATATAATATTTTTGAAAGCCAGAAGCAGATACCACTGGTCATAGCATTTCCTCAGCATCTAACTGAGGTTCTCAAATAAACATTTTTATTGAATGATTGAATAAATAAATATAAATGAACAAACATACGTTCACTTAAATGTAAGGAGTGCCTGCTTTACTTTTTGTAACATTGTTTCCAGTGATGGAAATATTCCTTTCCAATAGTATTTCCATGTGCTTTTATATTCTTTATATTTAAATACCTGTGCAAGTTTTATAGTGTGTTTAGATATCTTAATGTTTAGCCATTATTCTGTTCTTGAGAGTTTGAATAGGTTTCTATTGTATATTTTATAAATAGCACTTCTATAAACATTTTTTTTCTCTTTGGAGTTAACTTCCAAAATGTTCAAAATGCTATTATTGGATCAAATATATAAAAACTTACTGTTTGTTACCTATTGTCTGAAATATTGACTCCTGCTGATTTGAATTAACCCAAAGAGCTATCATTCCTGCATATCGGTTTCCTACAAACCTGCCAATAACATTTTTATGTATTTTTATAACTTTAATTATTTTAGGGCATTTATTTTTCTCATGTGGAGAGACAATTTGACTTTTCTATGTGATAATCTCTCATCTGTATTTCTTCAATTTTATCAGCTATAAACCAAAATTAAATTTCCTTATTGCTAGTGACAATAGCAATTAAGGTGAGGGTGACTTTTCCATTACTGAGTTGTTCCTGATGTGTATTACATTGATATCTCATAATACTTTATATCACCTTTTAGCATTTATTTTATTATTTTAGATTGTTTTTTCAACTTAGAGCCACGTGCTTTAGAAGATTATTATGTAACTTGACTTAAATTCTGGTAGGTTAAACCTCTTCACCATCTTTTTATTTGAAAAATGTCTTCTTGAAATGTCTTATTCGATCACTGGGCTAGAAAATACAAGATGAGACTGAGACATCTTGCAGTGCTCAAAATAAGAAAGTAAAAGTGCTCAAAACCCAAAACGATAGGGCAGAGTTCCCAATGGCCAAAGCTGGATCAATCTGAGTAACAAAGTCAGTCAAATAGTATTAGATTATAACCTAAAGTAAAAAGTAAATATCCAGGTGTAAATGTGAATATAAATAAATTACTAAATAAATAAATGAACAGGGGAGAAGAGACAAATATCCTACAGAAGAATTTCAGGTAATTTTGTAAATCTACACTTCAAAAAGTTAGAGAAAAATTGGCAGTCCCTTAAGAGTGGACTATGCTTAGTGACTAGTTTCCAAAAGGACAGTATAGAAAGCAGCATGCCAGTGGAGACTTTACCTAGGTTTCAAGGTTAACATGATCACTAATGAGCAATATTGAAAACATCTGTCCATGCCATGATATGATGTGCTGAGAATGGCATTTTTACCTCAGTGGTCTTCCTCCCAAAGCCCACAACCACAGTCTGTCCATTAGCTAAAATATTAAAAAAAAAAAACCCAAACTGAGAGATATTCTACAAAACACTCTAGTACACCTCAACGTCAAAGTTATTTAAAAAAAAAAAACCAAAAACTGTGAAGCTTCCACAGCATAAAAGAATTTAAGGATACATGATGGCTAAATGCACTGTAGTTTTCTGGTGGAATTCTAGAGGTGAGAAAGGTCATTAGGGAAGAAACATGAAAATCTGAATAAACCACAGAATTTATTTAATAACAATGTATACCTATTGGCTGATTATTTGTGACAAAAGTACTAAAGTAACTGAAAATGATCGCAAGAGGGGAAGTGAGTTG
This sequence comes from Homo sapiens, assembly GCF_000001405.40. Classification (NCBI taxonomy): domain Eukaryota; kingdom Metazoa; phylum Chordata; class Mammalia; order Primates; family Hominidae; genus Homo; species Homo sapiens. Next base: position 24,577,320 of record NC_000005.10, read on the forward strand.
TGGGATATACAGGACCTTCATATTATCCTGTAACTTTTCTACAAACCTGAAAGTATCATAAAATATAGTTGTTCATTAATACGTTTTTCAAAATTTTAATTGCATAGATTTTCCATCACTCTTTATTACAACAATATTCATCTCATTTCCTTGCCTGCATACATGCAAGAAGATATGACAATAAAATAAACTCTGGCAGGAAATATTAGATAAACCAACTGATCTGTTAACGTTTCTCTTTCACTACATATAGTAAATAATTAAGAATATAGAATTTATAAGTCAAACATAATATTCTTATCAGGTATATGTCTGGTTTAGAAATTGATTTAATTTATGAATTTCCTAGATTTAGATTTCTTCCAACTCCTAAATTAATTCTAAACCTGTATTCTGTTGAGAGAATCTAAGCTGTCACCTTGTTCCTGAGGCTATAGGACGGCCATGCTCCTCTCATATATGTTATAAAAATTGAAGTCCTTACCATATAACAAGACCATTTTTACTGGGCCCCACACAAATAATAAGGACTGAAATCTTTGTTCAGTGTTGTTAAAGAGCACAATGATCAACACAGTCACAATCTACTAAATAACTAAATGTCATTAGAAGCCAATTCCATATGCTAACCCATACTGTCACCATTCTTCAGCATTGAAGAGCCTGACCTTCACTTGTAATGTCTCTATGAGGAAATGTGTAATGGAGAGGACAAATACCTGCCTCACCCCACCACAGTGCTGGTGAGGAGAGGACACTTTCCATTGTCCCTTCAGAGGGAGCAGAAGAGTGAAGCTCAACAAATGGGGCAGCAGCTAGATCTTTCATAAAATAGGTGTCCAAAATGAGAAGATTTCCTTAATGCCAATGAATACATTGTAACCAAGAAAATGGTTTTCACAAGCTTTATTATTTTTTGCCTAAGTTGGGTAACATGGAACTGACTCAGAAATGTTCATAGAGTTCACCCTTTTAAGCTAAAAAGTAATTACATGTTTTTAGCAAGTCCTGTCTTCAGCAGTTGGTTTATTGAAAGAAGCATCTTCATCTTCTTCATCTAGCTGTAGATGACCAGAAGACACATGGATTCTGGCCATGGAGACTTTATTCCTTTGCCATACAAAGAGTAATAGTCTGGTTTAAGAATCTCTGCTTCAGAATCACTGGATTCACCAGCTACATATCTTTCTGCTATACTCTGATCCATTAGAACTGCTGGAAACTCCTGCTCTGCAAATATATATGCATTACTGTTTTGTTTGTCAAAATCAGTATTTAATAAGTGCTAAAAATGAGGTTTACTAAAACTAAGGCTAGAAACAAGGAGAATTCAAGTATCTCTATAACCATTGAAGAAAACAAATCAGTAGCTCATTTTTTTCTACAACAAAACTGTGGCATTATAGGATATCTTTAATGAATTCTGTCTACCATTCATGAAAGCAATAATTCCATCTCACAGAAATTATTTAAGACAATGGAAAACATGTTGATACTGCCTACCTGATTTTATGTGGCTAATATAAGTTTGCCATCTAAATCCAACAAAAAGAGTTAAAGAAAATGCATTTTACAGGGAAATATCTTGTATAAAAAATGAAAAATTTTATAAAACTCAAAAATTTTAAACAAGCAAATGGAAGATAATAATTTTAAAAAGTTATAATTACCAATATTGACTTCTTCCAGATCTTCAAATTTGGTTCAAATGAGAAATATTATTTAAGGTAATCACTCAGGTTAATTTACTAAAGGGGAAATAAACAGGTCAATAGAGTTATAAATATATATGAAAAGATTTCATATTCATTTATGAGTAAAAAGAAGACACTATGATTAAAAGGCAATTCCTTCTTCTGCTAAAGATATCTTTAAAAACAACCTTAAGATACTTTATAATTAAGAGTAAAATGGTAAACATTTTCTCTGAAACCAGGAACAAAATAAGAATTCTCCCTATCATATTTCTTATTCGATATTGTATTAGATTCTTTATTCATGCAGAAAGACAAGGAAAACAAAAATATATATATATGTATACATAAATATACATCTATGTATATAGATATATATTTTTTCTTGATTACACTGACACTGTTCCCTGCCAGATACTGCTGCACGTATTTGCTCCTTTCTAGCAAGACTTTCTAAAGTTTGCTCACATGTGCTTTCTCCACTTTTTCTCCCTGTATGCCCTTTTAAATCCACTGCAAAAAGAATGCTGGACTCACTACATCATGAAATTACAAGCATCAAGCACACTTATAACCTCATGGAAACCAAAGTTAACAGTCAATTCAAACCTCTCCTCATTCTTGACTTAGCAGCAGCTTTTGACAAGGTTGACACATTCTCTTCTCCTTACATTTTCTTTGTCTTCTAAGAGGTTTTCCTGCAGCTCAAGAAATATTTATTCTCAGTTTCATTCATTGTTTTTTCTTCTCTCTCTCTCTACCATACACATGTCTTAATGAGGGTTTGCCCCTGAAAATGGACCTAGTTCTTCTCTCACTACACTCACATTTTTTTGCATATTATCTAGTCCCATGACATTAAATACCATACAGAAGGTAATTACTGCTAAGAGGTTCCAATTTACAATTCAAAACTTCATGTATCTTACTCTATCTAAAGCTGAAATCTGTTTTTTTCTCCCTAATGCTCTATCGCTTCAAATAAAAGCAGATTTATAGTCTCCAGTTGCTAAGGCCAAAATCTTTGACTTAGGAGTCATCCTTAACAACACTCCCAAAAACTCCATATATAATACTTGAGAAATTTCTGTTGTATCAACTTTAAAGCCAGAAGACAGAGTGAAAATTCTATTTTTTTAACTTTTATTTTAAGTTCAGAGGTACCTGTGCAGGTTTGTTATATAGGTAAACCCATGTCATGGGGGTTTGTTATACAGATTATTATATAGACTATATATAATTTTTGAGTTTTATAAAATTATTCATTTTTATACAAGATATTTCCCTGTTAAATACCTTTTGTTTAACTATTTTTATTGGATTTAGATGGCAAAGTTATATTAACCATATAAAATCAGATAGGCAGTATCAACATGTTTTCCATTCTCTTAAATAATTTGTGTGAGATGGAATTATTGCTTTCATGAATGGTTAGAAGAATTTACTAAAGATATTCTATGATACCTTAGTTTTGTTGTAGAAAAAAATGAGTTACTGGTTTGTTATACAGATTATTTCATCACCCAGGTATTAAGCCGAGTATCCATTAGTTAAAACTTAGTTAGTATAATATCAACCTTCTGCTAAAAATTCTACAGTATCTTCCCATGTAACATAGAGTAAAAGTCAGAATTTATATAAGACCCTACATATTAGTTTCCTATTCCTATTGTAAGAAATAACCACAAACCCAATGAATTAAAACAACACAAATTAATTTTCTTATAGCTGTTAAATGTCAGAAGTCTAAAACCAAGGAGATGATAGGGTTGCATTCCTTCTGGAAGCTTCAAAGGAGACTCCGCTTCCTTGCCTTTTCCAGCTGTCTGCATTCTGTGGCTTGTGTCCCCTTCCTTCATCTCCAAAGTGCATCATTTCAACCTCTACTTCCATTGTCACATCTCTTTTTTCTAAAATTGACTCTCTTGCTTCACTCTTGACAGAGACCCATGAGTTATGTTGGGATCATTCATGTAATCCAGGATACTTGCTTCACATCAAGATCCTTAATTTGATCACATTTGCATAGTCTCTTCAGACATTTGAAGTGACATGCTCACAGTTGTGAGGATTAGGGTGTGGCCATCCTTGGGGGCCATTATTTAGTCTACCACACCCTAGGGATTCTGGGCACCCCCCGACCCATTACCTCTTTTCCAACCTCTTCTCCTACCACTTTCCTCTTGCTTCCTTTGCTTCAGCTACAGTTGACTCCTTGCTTTCCTCAAATATTCACTAGAACCTCTCAATTTTAAAGCATTTGCAGTAACTATTTCTTCTTCATGAAAACAGTAACCCCTTGATAACTGCTGGTCTCATTCACTTCCTTCCAGTCCTTTGCTCAAATATCACCTTCTCCGTGAGGAAGCATTGATCACCATGACCTGTTCTGCCCTATTCCCAATATTCCTTATCTTGCTACATCTCTTCTTTTCTGATTGCACTTACATTTGTAACAACTATAAGAATAATATGTCTCACATTTATTTTGAATTTCCTGTATTTCTCACTAAAAATGCAAGCTTCGTGAGGACAGGATGGTTGCCTTCCATGCAGTGATGTGACCAAGTGACCTAGAGATTGCCCAGAAAATACTTGGTGTTCCACGCCTGTTATGAATTTGTGAATGAAGCAATCCACAAGAAAACAATAGACATCCTGAAGAAACTATTGGTAAAACACTTGAAAAACTTCAATACGTGGTTATAATCATCCAGACGAAGTGTCAAAGTAACCGAAACTTGAACTGTTTACTAAATTCTAGAACAGATAACCCAGGATGGAACCCTTAAAAATTGTGTTTATTTCATTATTTGCTTGGATTTATTTTTGGTAACACAAAAAGTAAACGTTTTGATCTAAAAAAACTTAATTACAAAGATGGAAGATTACTGATATTGAGAAAAATGAGAATAAAAAAGATATTTTTAAAATTCTAAAAATAAGAAGTTAAGATGTTGACATCAAATAACAGGAACTCATTCACTGCTGGTGGAAGTTTTACTGGTTACAACTTAGGAAAGTACTATGACAACTTCTGAAAAGATTAAAGCTAGGTTCATACTATAGAACAGCAATTTTACTTCAGATTATATACTAATGTACATGAGTATCAGGATACATGCACAGAAATGATCGTAGGAGCATTATTGGTAACAGTGAAAACTAGGGGAAGAGGCCACTCCATATACACATTGATATTGCATAACATATCCATTGATATGTGATCCATATTAATAGGATTGTACTGAATTCAAATACGTTTATGTAGAAAGATACGCTACACAACAATATTTGGCAAAAGAAGAAAGACAAAAGATTATCTGAACTATGATTATGCTTAAATTTCAAAAATAGCCAAAATTCTAGTATTTTATTTAGAAATACCTATATAGATATTCAAACTATAAAGAAAAACAGACACTATTATCACAAAATAAAGCTTAATAGCACCTCTTGGAAGGAAAAATGGTGTTGCTATTAATACACCACAAAGAGGGATTCCTGGGGGCTAGAAATTTTCCATTTCCTGGCCTGGGGAGAGGACACATCCATTGATTTGTATTTATTTGTTAAAGTGTATACATGTTTTATGTAAATTGAAATATGCATTATTTAAAAAATTTTTAAAACATAAAGGTCAATTAATAAAGACAGACTGTGGATCAAAAAAAACACTACCATGTCAATAGAAAGATTGACAAAGGATCTGAACACATTTGCAAAACGCAAAATGCTTCAAACACATAGATGCTCATGCTCACTTAGCATGAACAATAAAATGTCACTCATAAATCTTTTCACTTATAAACCAAAATAAATAAAAATGATAATGGTGATACAGTGATTTGCTACAGATGTGGAAAAATAGTTACTTTCCTAGTCATTGGTTTAGGTTGAAACAACCTCAATGGAGAGTAATATAAAATCCCTATCAAAGTTTAAAACTTTTCAAGACTATGCTTCAGGGTTTCTACTTGTAGTCATATTTCCTAAAGATATAACTCTGTGTCAAATAGCACCTGTCATATTGCTATATTAGTAATTTTTTTTAAAAAAACTAAACGTCCTTTAAAAATGTTAAAACAATTACAGTGCACCCATTAGAAAGAATATTATTCAGCTACTCAAAAAGAGAAAAACATCTTTATGTACTGTAATGCAGTGAGTCCTAGGTTACATTTTTTAGTTAAAAAAAAAAAAAAGCAGATTCCATTAACATCTCACATCTCATAAAGTACACTGCCATGTTTCCAAAAACAAGATAACACACGTCTTTACATGTTTCTCTTGGAATATGTAACAAAAAACTGGAAATATATATATTTTTAAAGAAGAAAACTAGGGATATCTGAGGATCAAGATGAGAATCTTAGTTTTAACTGTATACCTTTTCTGTATAAAGTGCATGCATCATCAATTCCAAATATAAATTAAATAATAAACACATAATGGCTATGAAAATTAATTGGATTTTTCTGTGAAATAGTCAAAATAGCTCTATTACATATGCAATCTTAGTTTTGTACTTAACTAGAAAAAAATCTGCTAATTTATTAATCAGTGCACTACTTAAAAATATAACTGTTTTGATGTGGTAATATATATTAATAAATGTAAGAATATTCTTTTTTGTTTGTTTGTTTTTTTGAGACGGAGTCTCACTTTGTTGCCTATGCTGGAGTGCAGTGGCGCAGTCTCCACTCACTGCAATCTCCGCCTCCCGGCTTCAAGCAATTTTCTGCCTCAGCCTCCTGAATAGCTGGGATTACAGGCATGTGCCACCAAGCCCAGCTAATTTTTGTATTTTTAGTAGAGATGGGGTTTCCTCATCTTGGCCAGGCTGGTCTTGAACTCCTGACCTCGTGATCCACCTGCCTCGGCCCCCCAAAGTGCTGGGATTACAGGCGTGAGCCACCGTGCCCGGCCAAGAATATTCTTAATAATGGCGAATGAGGTATAATGTTGATTCTAATCCTGGAGTCATACGTTCAGGGTCAGAAGTCCATTTTTACAACTTTCTTGATTCTTACCACTAGAAAACTTAGACAATGAAGGCACATATTTTTTTCTTAATTATAAATGAAAGATAATTGGAACTACCTCATGAGGTTGTTGAAATCCTAAAATAATAAAATAAACTTTAAAGGTATCATTATCAGGCTACATCAAGTTTCAAAATATTATATATCTCATTTAACTGTACCCCCAAAATTGTATGTGATAGTAATTATACCAATATTTTCTTCCAGAAGAACGTTAAATACAGATGATGAGAAAGGTCTTTTTAAAAACTGGTGATTTAAATTAGCATGTCTTTTTTTTCTGATTATGTATGATGGTGACTTTGAGCTTAATAGTTATATTTAATTACAATTTTTAACAAAAAGAGTGAGCTCACCTGATGTTCACGTTCACATCCTTTCTTTTCCTTTTTTTTTTTTTTTTTTTTGTGTGTGTGTGAGAGAGAGAGAGAGAGAGAGAGTCTTGCTCTGTTGCCAGGCTGGAGTGCAGTGGCACAATCTCGGCTCACTACAACCTCCGCCTCCAGGGTTTACAGGATTCCCCTTCCTCAGCCCCCTGAGAAGCTGGGACTACAGGCACGTGCCACCACGTCTGGCTAATTTTTTGTATTTTAGTAGAGACGGGGTTTCACCATGTTGGCCAGGCTGGTCTCGATCTCCTGACCTAGTGATCCACCCGCCTTGGCCTCCCGAAGTGCTGGGATTACAGGTGTGAGCTACCGTGCCCGACCTCACATCCCTTTTTACTATCCACATCATAATTTATCTTACCTTTCTGGTTGTCTAGTTGTTCATCATTTCAAATATAGCTTTTTTTTTTCCCCCCTGATACAAGGTCTCACTCTGTCATCCAGGCTGGAGTGCAGTGGCATGATCTTGGCTCACTGCAGCCTCAAACTCCGAGGCTCAGGTGATCTTTTCACCTCACCCTTTCTGGTAGCTGGGACTACAGGCACGTGCCACCATGCCTGGATAATTTTTTCTATTTTTAGTAGAGACAGTGTTTTGCCATGTTGCCCAGGCTGATCTCGAACTCCCAGTCTCAAGCAATCTTCGCTTCGGTCTCCCAAAGTGCTGGGATTGCAGGCGTGAGCCACTGCACCCGGCCCACTTAATTTTTAATCTTAATAATACGACTCTGAAAACCTAGCAAGTAGGCTTCTTCCAGTCTAGCTCAAAGCCATCTTATTCTCATTTGCCCAGATTATTACAACTAGTCTCTCCTGGGTCCACACTGATCTCGAAATTGCTACATCTGTCCCTGTAATGAGTTTGTATCACTCAACAAGATCAGTCATCAATTCCTTGGAACGTTTTGCTTCTTTGGCCTCTAGAAGGGTCATAGTCTCCTTCCCTCCACCAACACACAAACATACTTTTTCTTTAAAAAACAACAACAACAACAACGGAGTTTAGCTTTTGTTACCCAGGCTGGAGTGCAGTAGCGCAATCTCGGCTCACTGCAACCTCCGCCTCCCAGGTTCAAGCAATTCTCCTGCCTCAGCCTCCCAAGTAGCTGGGATTGCAAGCTCCTGCTACCACGCCCAGCTAATTTTTTGTATTTTTAGTAGAGACAGGGTTTCACCATATTGTCCAGGCTGGTCTCAAACTCCTGACTTCAGGTGATCCACCTGTCTCAGCCTCCCAAAGTGCCGGGATGACAGGCATGAGCCACCGCTCCCAGCCCAAACATACTTTTTCTTGGATTTTCTCTACATCTAGGAGTAAACATAATCAAAGGTCATTTCCTAGATTTTTGTTTTTTTCTCTTTATTGTGTCCCTTCAGAAGCTCAGTTATCACAGGGGCGGAAGCCTAGTCCTCTCATGATTCACAGTTCTGTCCCTCCGCTCTGCTAGACTCAGGAAAATCAAACAAACTAGATTTGGTGCTAAGCCTATGATGCAGACTTGCAAATAGCGACAGAGGAGTGTCAAAGAAAATTGAAAAAGCTCAGTCGTCTTGCACATTTTTTGGGGTGGTATTTGAAAATGACACCACTGAATGCTGAGAAATTTGATGATGTAAGTTAAGCTAAACTGCAGCCAAATTTAAATTCCTTTAGAAAATTTGATATAATAGTATACATTCTTACAGCTCAATTTCCTACTTGATAATATACCTCTAATCTTGGGCTAGGATTTAACATTTTAATTCAAAGTTCTACATTTAATAGCTTTATGTAATCTATAAATGCATAGTATATTTTTAAACATGAAGTTAGTGAGATAATTTTGCTAAAGGGGGAATCTGAAATTTACATTAAATTCCCTTTGCCTACTGTGGATTAGAGCTCTAAAGAGAGAAGCAAAGGTTTTAAGTTATAGTTTAACAAAGTTGCTGCTCCCCTCTCAATTTTAATCCACCTACCTGAAAATTTACATGCTTTATTAACTCCTTTTTTTTTTTTTTTTTTTTTTGAGACGGAGTTTAGCTCTTTTTGCCGAGGCTGGAGTGGTGCATTGGGGCAATCTCAACTCACTGCAACCTCCGCCTCCCGGGTTCAAGCGATTCTCCTGCCTCAGCCTCCCATGTAGCTGGGACTACAGGCATACACTACCATGCCCGGATAATTTTTTTGTATTTTTAGTAGAAACAAGATTTCGCCATGTTGGTCAGGCTGGTCTCGAACTCCTGACCTCAGGTGATCCACCCGCCTTGACCTCCCAAAGTGCTGGGATTACAGGCGAGAGTCATTGCATCCAGTCTATGTTAACTCTTAATTAAAATTACCAGGAGTCATGGAACACAGTTCAGTGATTAATAACAATAATAATAATAGTAAAACAATAAGATAGCCCATATTCTTTTTTTTTTTTTTTTTTTGAGCCGGAGTCTCGCTCTGTCGCCCAGGCTGGAGTGCAGTGGCGCGATCTCTGCTCACTGCAAGCTCCGCCTCCCGGGTTCACGCCATTCTCCTGCTTCAGCCTCCCGAGTAGCTGGGACTACAGGCGCCCGCCACCGTGCCCGGCTAATTTTTTGTAATTTTAGTAGAGACGGGGTTTCATCGTGTTAGCCAGAATGGTCTCGATCTCCTGACCTCGTGATCTGCCCGCCTCGGCCTCCCAACGTGCTGGGATTACAGGCGTGAGCCACCGCGCCCGGCCGCCCATATTCTTTAATAAAATGGATGTAGACATTTAGCTATATGAAGTGACTATTTAAGAATTTACTTTAAGAAATTTATTAAAGTGCTCCCTCCTATTCATGCTTTCATATGAAACAAGTGAGAATATGAATATATGAACATATGCCAATTATGAGACATTGATGAGCAAACACAATAACAAACATCCCTCTCTTTCATTTACTTTATAGAAAAGAGCATTATTCTTCAATACAATGGGTACAAAATTTAATTGCACATATAATTATGTATTGTCTCCAAGAAAGAAAATGAGAGAGCTCTGGTAGATATTCATAATATCATATTAATAATAACCATGCTTCATTGCCATTACATATGTACTTGTGTGAATTATGTGAATTATGCAAATATGAAGTATTGATAAATTATATTGAGATACCTTCTGCAGAGCAAAATTTATGTGAGATTTAATACAGTTTTCATTTACCAAGATTTCTCTTGAGCTTTTACTAAAAATCACTGACTCCATTTTCATATAATCTTAATATTCTTGACTATATATTTTAAAAATTCTGTATGTGAAAAAATGATTGGCTAAATTATAGATATAAATGTTTTATTTTACTTTGAATATTTTGATGGAATAAAGTTTTTCAAATTTATGACAGAGAATTTTGAGTGCAAAATGTATGCATTCAGGATTTTCCTGAATACTTTGCTAAAATGATATAGTGAGATTTGAAGATGTATTTTCCCTACATAACTGCTAGCTAAAATATTATTGTATTGAGAGATACATACATTGTATGCGTTTTGAGAATTAAAAACAAAGAGGTGGTCTGCTCTGAAGATATTATCACAGTTTTCTGCAAGACATGCCTCTATAAATGCTTTTATTACTTCTTACTTGAAGTCCCTAGAGATTTTAATATAGGTTTACATTTTGCATGTGTGTATGATCTTTACATATTAGAGAAGTAATGTCTATATTCATGCAAATGTCCACTCATCAGGAAGATATTTATAATCATTTAACCCAAAGGAGTCTCTGTCAATGTCTATCACATCAACCTGATTAATGTTTTCCAGAAATTTTTCTAAGTAAAATTTCCTAATGCATTTATCTCTTCATGTCCTATTCATTATATGGTTGCAATGGACATGGTTCAAATAAAAAATAACTGTGTCCCAATATCCCTGTATCCCCTACCCCATCTAACCACTAAAAGCAGGTTTATATTTAGTAAACAGTTGTTTTTTATGTAGGTCCTTTTGGTCATGTTTGGATAATTTTTTTAAATTACTTGGGAACGTTTAGTCTCAAGAACAGTCTCATTTCAGTTATGAAGTAGAGTGTTTTCTACATACTGAACTCTCATATAATGCAAAGATTTTCCACTTGTGCACTTGAGATTTATTTTAGCCTAGGAAGTCTGCAGTGGTGGAGGTCAGAACAGCTTCTCCTCCGACTTCATTCCAGCTACTCCTTCTCCAGCTGTGGCCAGTTGACATGACTGTGTCCATATTATCAAAAGTAAAAGGGACACAGTCTAACCTGGTGGACACAGTTGCTATTTCTGGGCTTTATTGATATTTAAATTTGAGTTAGTCTCTCATGGATCAGTTTCTACAGTTTCAGAGAGATCCTCTAGAAATTTTCAATTATAATTTCCTTATGAGGTATTTCACAGCAAAAATACATTCCCAAGGAATAAACAGATCAATAAAACAATAAAAACATGCTTTTTGAGTCTTCAATCTTAACATTTAGTAACATTGATTCGTACAGCAAAAACCCTCAAACTGTTTTATTTTCACTGTATTTACAAGTACTGCAGAAATAGGACATGGGAATATTTGTTGACTATTGTTTTGTTCTTGGTTTTGGAGTCTGTGCTATATCTGAAACAAAAGGGCCCCATAACTTGCTGTTATTCTTATTATTTGCTGTCTTTGAGCAGAGAGCTTATATTTTCCCCACTGTGTGCATAATACTGGAGTGGTACCTAGAAGGTCCTCCATATATTTGCTGAAAGAAGGAATAAACACTTCATGCATAGTGGGTGTTTGGAGCCGACAAGTCTATAGAGAAGGATGACCACGAGGCTGGAGAAAAATATATGCTTTAAGACTGGACATAAACAGGAGGTCAGGAGATCTTGTTAGAAGTCTACACTGTGGGAAACAAACAGTAATGGTAACTCTGAAGGGAAGAATATAATTGAGAGCATATTTAGAAGTATTGACAGCATATTTAGAAGTAAGAAGCCATGAAGAAATAAAATTAGTACTGTTAGGAAAAGGCAAGAGAGATTTTACTATACTGACTTAGAATCAGATTTATGGTTGCCCCTTTATGTTACTGATTTTTTTTTTTTGGTGTTTTGGGATTTTTCTCAATTTTTGGTTTTGATTAAAATCTGTTTTTAACATGCTTTTTACCACCTGAGACTAATTATAATATTAAATATAGACAAAGTTTGTGCAGTAAATATAGAATTAGTGATTTGCTTAGAACTGCATATTTGTTACAACTAAAAGTAAATTCAAGGCTTTACAGTTTAATATCATTATTTACTTTAGATTTGAAGATATGGAAGCTGAAGAATTTGAAATTATCTGCTCAACGCAACTGGACTGAGCAATAGGAAACTGATTAGAAACTACATGTAAAAAGATATTAAACTAATAAAAAATAGGAGTTTATAATCGCAATGTTCCTTGAATTTAAATTTGGAAATTTTAAAATATTTATAGAAGGTTTCACTACGGAGGTAACATATTTCAAAAGTAGGTTCCTTGAAGTTCAACATGTGAAGCTCTTGCCTTGGAAGATAAAGAGAGGGGAGTGAGTATATAGGAAATACCTACATATTCCAATAAATTCCAGTATACAGGAAGATTCTTAAAGGTCAGTGTTATGATTAGATCATGGAAAAAATGGAAAAAGAAAGCTCTTACACTAAATATATTTTTGTTTAGAATGCATTTAACAGAATGATTTACAGGAAAATGCTTCTATTTATGGCGATCTCAACAAATAAATGTTTTGAATTGAGCATGGTTGACTTTGTTTCTTACAAAACAAAAGGAGTGGTGGCAGTGACAATTAGCCAATGGGCTTTATTACTCTCCGTTCCCTTTCTCTCTCCTCCTCTTAATTTTTTTTTTCTAAATGAGTTTTTAAATACACATATAATTTATATTTATAATGTAATATTATTAGAAGTGAGTACAATAATAGAAATTATTTAGTATCTATATATAGTATATATTATGTTAGTGTATTAGTGTATATAATACACTATAATCATGACCTTTGATTTCATGGATAAGAAAATGAAGGCCAAGAGAAGTTGATAAACCAAGGGGAGAGAAACAGTGGCAAAAACAATGTCACATTCTAGGTTTTCTGATTGACAGTTGTATGTTTTCTTAAGCTCCTCTCTACTTTAACCCAATGAGCAGTAATGGGATTTTCGTTTTGCTTTAACCACATAGCAGTAATGGGTTTCTATCTGAGAAATTATAGGCATCAATTCTTCCTAGGGTCTGGTTAGCTAATTGTTTAGGTATTTAAAAAATTTTTTCTTCTGCTCCACACAGGTGCTTTTTAGTCTTGTCCTCATCAAACCAGTGTAAGTCTCTCCATTGCTAGTGGGAGAGTGCTTTGTGAGCTCCCAAAATATTCCCCACTACAGAGAGATACCTGTCACCATGTTTCCATATGTCTAGTGATTGGAACACATATTACTCCGACATCTAAACCAACCCAGAGGCATTGAAACACTTATCACCATATCACATGTCTACTTTAAAGGATGTAAAAACCGGAATAATTTCTGAAAGAAAATATGACTGTGATAAATTCCTTATAAATAATGATGGAGAGAATATGTGGGGGATTTTAAGTTTTTTATACTTCATGAGGAAAATATATTTTAGCCTCAAGTTATATTTATTGTAATGTTTGTTTATTAAAATATCATATGTTAAACATTGCCTTTTTGTCATATCATGTGTATGTTTATCTCTTAAATAAGATTGTAATTGTATAAGTAATTAATGTAATACAAATAATAAGGCAATTAATACAATAGTATAGTATAGACAAAAAATGTTAAAGCATCTATTTCACAGATTATGACATGAATAAACCACAGAAACTACAAAATTGATTGAAATGTGAGCTAAAATCTAGACACTCTGGCCATTAAAAGCAGACTCAGAGAAGTGTGAGAGTTACAACACCTAAATCATTTCTGTTAACTCTAGTAGTTCAGCACAGTCTACATGGAAAAGAACTGATGAACACATTCATAAATTCCTTACACCAACACTCATTAAAGAGTTTTCTAATTTGTTTTCATAAAGCAGAGTATGAAGCATAAAATTTGAGTTGTATATCAAGATGCATATATATTAAGTTTACCAACTTAATTGTCTTCAGTGATTACAACTTCTAGACTAGTCTTCTCTGCCAAAGAGCCAAATGCCACCAGATGGCAGAGGGAATTCAATTTAATATGACTCAGGTTGATTCAGTCAGCTAAATAGTTATTAAGATCTACTCTAAGAGCTTAATACTCTCTTACTACTCTAAGAGATATGAAGTACAGTTCTTGATTTCAAGGTGTTGATATTTTATGAGATAAAAATAAAAAATAAGAAGTAGCTTGACTATGAGAGTATATAATGTAATGATAATTCAATTTACCAACATTTATTAGATCATCATAAAGTACTAGATGAAGGGAAATAGATGCAAACAAGCTAACTGCTATGTACTAGTTTCTACAGCCCAGATTTCAGTTATTATCTTTCTAAGCAGTTAGTTTCATAAACTAAAAGTTGTCTATGAGAGCAACCTTCACTCTCTATTCCCAGGCTTTAAATCAATAAGATCTATGAAAAGCCTGCTACTTTGTGCTTTCTGGTAAGATTCCTTTGGTTGCTGTTTCTTTTCCTTTTCTTTCTAGTCAACATGATATTTAACCTTTAATATCATCTTTCTCATTTTACCAGATATTTTAAAAGGTCTGAAATGAGTGCAATATGACAAAACATATCAGTGTTTTAAAATCACTGAAAATGTTGTCTCAAAAACAGGGTTTTTAGAAGAAAAAATCTTTCACACAATTTTAATTATTTGAATGAAGATATTATAGTTAAGGTTAATGCAAGAATTGTCAAGGCAGTGATGTATGCATGATAATTGTGTAGTGTTAACATGTGATTTATGTTAGTCTACTTAATTTCCTTTTATTCCTATGACATAGTCTCACAATCTATAAAAATAATAATATTGACTATTAAAATGAATTTTTTTGTAAGCTCTCAAGTCAACTAAGCCTTTATCTAACTTCAATTAGATTCAGATAGCGTCAAGAAAGAAAATTTGAACTGAATACAACATAGTGTGTAAAAGCATTCATTAGTACTTTTATGTTAAGCTTCTCATTTCATTTCCAACCACAACTAATTATCCTCACTAACTTTATAATTCTGTAGAATGAAAACTCTTCCTGTCCACCTCATATTGCAGTAGCTAAACTATTTTTACTTGCTTTTCTTCCTATTCGTTTTTCTTTATACAAATGCACCCATAGTGTGACCTAAGAAAAATAAATAACATTCATACCTAGAATAAATTTTCTTATAATAAGCAACATTTTTGTCCTTGAATCATATTTTGATGACATTTGCTTTCTCGTTCTGTAGAAGATTAAACAACTTTGAAATGTTTTTGCTTCCTCACTGAACTCAATAGCAATGTGAAATATATATATATATATATACACATATGTATTTTCATTTAAATGACTGTATTTACATATAGGTTTCTCACTATCATTGCTTTCTAACCATAAATTCTAAAATTGCAGTTTTGAGTACCTCTTTAATCCATAAGTTATTGGGCAGAATTAATTCTAATAAATAAATTTATGCATTTATCATTTTATATTCATTCCACAGTTTTTATCAAATTGGAATTCGTGTTCCATAAACAAAAATCCTTTAGGGAGATTTAAAGAATCAGATTTATAAAAATGATGGTTTGATGACCTTCAAATTTTCATCAGTAAAATATATAAAGAGCAAATATAAACACGTGCCATTTTAACACAAGCTTACCTTGCCTACGTACTGATAATCAGATCCTGTATATTCTTCAAGTAAGAAAAATTGATTCCACATCCAACCACGTTTTTGACGATGGAGAATTTTGCCATCACTCCTTGGTACACGTGAACTTAAAATTCTTTGCTGTGGCACAGGCGTCCTTCTGAACATTATTTCTGGAGAGCAGAAATGTGGCAGGCATACCCAGAATAGAAACAGTAGCAAAAATTGATGTATTGTCATAGTTCACTTCTTGACAAATCCCAGTGTAGATGAAGAGAAGTGGTCCTATTTTACCCAGTTGGTTTTACTGTGTTTCAACTGGTTTCCAACATTTCATCAATGTTTTGTTCATGTTTCCCAAAGCTTCAAACAAACAAACAAACAAAAAAAGTTAGTTGACAACATTATCATTATTACTTTTCATTTAAAATTTAAAGTGACAATAGTTTATTAATAACAACCAAAACATTCATTTTCTTTATTTTTCATACAATAACGGATAGCTTTGAGAAATATTACTTGTCTAGCAATATGTCTACAATGTACAAAAATATAATTGTAAATGTTTATTTCCACCAAATTCTAAAGAAAGGACATTATTAGGCTTTTTTTTCTTTTGGCACTTTAACAGTTTTTAGTAATTACATTGCTATATACACAGGAGATATAGTTCATTCTGCATGTCAATTTTTTCAGAGTAATTTAATGCAAATTATAATTTTGAAAACAAAACTGATTTAAATAACCTACAGGAATCACGCCTTCTGTTGTGCAATTTTATATTTTAATGTTTTTAAACAGCAGCATCATTTCTTCAAATTTAATCCTACTCAGAGGTAAAAGTAAAGGCACAAACAAAACAAAACAAAACAAAACAAATGAGAAAACTAGGAATGCCTTCCTTTGAAGTGCTCTCCTCTCTTCCCTGTTAGGTTAGCCTGGGGAACACCTAGAGTTTCCTTGAGTAGAAAGTAATCACTACTACAGTGAACCAATTTGTAATATAATTAAATCCAGCAGATAATCTGCTTCTAACTACCTCTACTGCCTGGTCCAGAACTCCACTATACCCCAGGCTGACTATGGTAACAGCCTACTGACTGTTCTCTACACCCTCCGTGCCACTATTTTCTCAACAAAATTTCCTTAGAAATCCATTAAAATTTAAGTCAGATCATGTCATTTTTTTTTCCACAAAACACTCCAGTGGTTTCTTATCCCACTGTGATGGAAACCAAAATCTGTCCAATAATACTGCACTCAATTTCATCACTGCTGTCCACCTCTCTGACCATGTTTCACTTTAACCCTCCACCACATCCCCCTAAACTGACTCTTCTCCAGCCACAGGGTCCTTCTTGCTTCACCATGCAATACATTTTACATGCTCCCTTCCTTAACCAGCAACTTCCTACTTGTTCTCTGTGCCTAGAATGATTTTCCTGTAGATGTTCACTTAGCTAGATCCTCTGTTTCCTTCAGGTCTTTCTTTAAAACCACCCCTGACATTTCATATATTCCAGTATACTCCATGTATTTTATTTATTTATTTATTTATTGTGTACATATTCTGTTTTTCTTCTACAATCCCATGTAGGAAGATAATTTTACTCTTTTCTTCATCACTGTATCACAGTGTATAAAAAAGAATCTTGTCTATAATAGATGTTCAATAAACAGTTTGAATGTATGAGTAAATGAATGAATGAATTGCAAGTCAATGCAAATATTTGACTACCATTACCTGCTATATGTTTTTGTGCCCAAGCATTTATGTATAGAGATATATATTTTTGAATTACAGTAATTTTTATATTATTCTTCACTTATAATATTGTGAACATACTTATTTTGTTTTGTGTGTGTGTGTGTGTGTCTATTGTCTTTTGTTTCCTAATATGTATGGATTTTATTTCAGGATATAATAAAGTATGTGTTATAGAAAGTGATTTGAGAACCAAAAGGATTGAGTTTCACTTCTCTAATATGGCAATGCATTATAAGTACTCCTGCTTTTACATTTATGCTTACATCCACAGTAATTTGTTAGCAATCTCTTTACTTTTTGTTTCATTATTAAGAAGATTTAAAAGTTAATATAAATGTTTCAAAGAAATAAGATTAATAGTGAAGCAGTGCCTCCCTTGAGTGTATTAAATGACAGTGGAGTCGTCCACAATGCCTGAAGACGTACAGCATGATAGATGGAAATTGTATTTCAATATGTCATGTAATACTCTACTTGGAGTTTAGAAATTATCTGATGCATAAAATGGTCTTACATCACAAAGCACTGGAACTCAAATTGATTGGATTCTAAGTAATAGGAACATTTACCAAAATAGTGGCTTTTATATGTATTAGGATGTGCCAGACAGTATTCTCCAGAAATGTACTCTATTCCCAAGAGGCAGGGGAGAGTTTGTGTAAGTGAGGGTTTCTGCTTTCTTCTACAAAAGCTTTAAAACCTATTGAAGAAACAGTCATTCTCATTTCATCTCTTTTTACATTTTTAAAAATTGTCAGCAATTCTATGATGCATTGGTGATCATTTTCAATACAGTTATAACCTTCCCTAGTGTGAAAAGCCTACTCACCAATGTTTTGGAAAAGAGTAGGTGGGGACTATAGCTATAAAAGTTGCTATTGAATAATTGGACCCCACATGCATGAGATCATTTCCTTTGTTATTGTTCTAGTTTCAATTATTTAATGATAAATGTCCTGAAGAATCCCCAGTAAAATGCATTATTTAATACTGATGCAAGATAATTAGAAAGTATATAAAATACATTTTACATAAAGACTACAGTATTTGACAAAAACATTTTGAACAATGACACGGTTAAATAAAAATAGAAAATTATATGAAACAAATCTAACATTTAATTTCTCTGCAGTTAGTTCTTCCTAGTTATGTTCTAAGTAACTAGGAGCCTACATATTAGATATTTCAAAACATTGTGACTTTAGTATAAATATCACTAATAATCATCCTTCCAGTAACCTAACCCAAATTACAGAATATCTTTGGCATTTCCATTTAGCCAAGTGTACCTTTTACATGGTCAGTCAATGCATTGCTTTGCTGCTTTTTCCACCCTATGGCTCTCAGCTGTCTTTTTTTTTTGTCAGTGTGTCATCACACTATTTTAAACGATTATCATTTCATGCAAACAGCATACAATAACTACTAACGGCCGTTTTCCTTAACCTCAATCTTTCTTATTTAAAATATATCCTACAGGGTGTTAGCTAAATTAATTTTCTGAAGCCCACTTCTCCAAGGCTCAAATCAATTAAAATTTTTGAACATGTCTACCACTGGGAAGATTAACATCAAAACTTTATATTTCATTTCAATATCCGAAACCAGATAATTTTTAAAACATCATTTTGTAATATTTCTAGTTGTTTTAATTTCAACCCTGATATGTAACTTCTTATATGTATAAACTATCTCCCCACTAATAGACAATTCTGAATAATATCCAGGTGATTTGAAACGTATTGAATTTTCCTCAATAGTAAAAAGTGGTATATACAGATGTATCAGTATATGTCTCTTTAATTAACTGATATTTATAAAAGCCTCTCTAAATATGTTGGACTATTTATGATGAGAAATAAAAGCTAAATTTTAGGATATAAAAATATTACATAAGGGAGCTGTTGTGCTTGCTTGAAATTATTAACAGAATTATAATGAAAAGGAATCAGGTGGGTTGAAACTATTATTAAACTACCTCTCTGACTAAAAATGCTAAAATTAATGAAATTCTATAATTTCAGTCCCAGTTAATTTTATTTTTGGAAAATATTTTCAAAACTACATTTCTTTATTTTAATATCAAAAATAATTTAATATGAATATCCTATGAACTTTAAGAATTATTAAAACATCCTTCAGCCATTCTGCAATCCCATATTTCCTTTAGACCAGTGCTCCTCCACTTTTAATATATATTCACAACTCCTGGGTCACTTGTTAGATATCTATGTTCTCATTCAGTGGGTCTGGTGTGGGGCATAAGATGCAACATTTCTAATATGTTCACCTATAATGCCAATGCAGGCGGACCATGTGCTTTGACTGGCAAAGCTGTAGACCTCCCTCAGACCTCAAATCAACCTCAGAATGTTTTTATAACTTTTTCCTATTTAGTGCTTCAGCCCCCAGATACGTAGCCTACTACAATGAGGGGAATATAAGCTATATGGCGACTGCAGTCAGAAGATCAAAACATTATTTCTAAGTACTCTAAGGCCTTTTTCCACGTTTTTTTAACCAGAGGAGTTTGTTTGCTTCAAGCTACAGTAGATAGGATAGCAATTTTTCTCTTAATCATGCTGTCAACTATGTTTTTCTTTATATGTTCATTTTAAAGCATTTGTCTCACTGGGTCTCATTTCATTTTTACAATTACAGGACTTTCATTATTCTTCTGAAATACTTATCACAAATATTATTTTCTCTATAACCTGTTAATTTTATTATATAGGCAGCCAAGAACAGCAGATCACAGAATATAATATAATGGGCATTTTGGCACATCTCAATTACTAATTAAGTCTCCACACATCACAGATGATCAATTAAGCTACAATCTATTCTTGGCTAATAAAAGGAATTAGTCCTTCTTCAGTCAATTTATTATGTTGATTAGGATCCTAATGTACCAGCTTTTAAAAATATATATATTATTTATAAGAGTAATCGAAAATGCTAAAGATTATAGATATAAAAGTCCCTAGAGATGGATAATTTTAATCCTTTTAAAGTTTCATAGACCAAATACAGTCTAATAACATTTCAACACTGAAAAATAAAGGAAAATTTTTCAGATGTGTTTATACAATTAAAATGAGTCAGTGCATACTAAATGCATACTAAATACTTCCTTTTTATTCAGCTGATACCATTTTATGCATCTAGTCTAAAGCACCATGTGAGATAATTGAATCAAAGCATTACACTAAGGACTCAAATAATATGAGTCCATATGCTTGATCATATTATCCAAGAGTTCATTACACATTACCTACTGTGCTCTATTGTCATAGAAAATGTATAATTCTACATTGAATATTTATCACTCTGTTTTAAGTATTCTGCATATGTATTTCTATTTAGACTGTAAGTTTGAGGCAGGGTTTTATGTCGTCCATGCAAAGCTAGCAATATAGAGAATAATGCAAAGTGTTAAACAAGTATTTTTAAATTGGATTGAATATTATAATTATTTGTAAAACATTTCAATACGAAAGAAACTTGCTTTGTTGTTCCTAAAAAAAAAAAAAAGGTGGACCATTTTATGCCTATATCTTATTTGTATTTAACATGACAGAACTCACATAAGACATTAACCAAAAAGGCAATCAATATATCACTGTTGAATGAAATATACAACACAAAGGTTTGGTAGTCTTAGATAAGTTATCAACCATTGCTAGGATTGTTATCAATGCAGAAAGAATCCCAAGAAGCTCTGGTCCTTGCTATTCTTTTGAGACTAAAATTATCTCCTTCAAGCAAAACCGTTTGAAATTAGTTTTATTCTCTAGGAATGTGACCTGCACACAAACTGGTAATACACTTCTCCAGCTATACTACGTGCTAACATCTTTATGTGATAATTTGCAAAACCAGATATCAACCATATAAATTTGGGGTCAGTGGGTAGATAAAACATATGGCAGGGATAAAGAGGATTGTTGAATGAGGCACATAACTTCATGTGGCCATTATCTCTAAGATCCCTGCTAATAGGCTAAAGAATAGCATCCAAGAGTTCTTGCTACTCTCTGAGCAACCTTTTTAACTCAGCAGCAAATGTGACAGTCCCAAATGTAACTTGATCCACAAGCAAGTTAGCAGTGCTAATACAGATGTGACATTGCACCTGCTGCCTCCTGAAAGTCTCATTTTACTGTAGCTAGGATTTATTTCATTATGTGGAGAATGGTAGCAAGAATGCTCTGAGGGTTACTTAAAGATGTTCGTATAAAAGCCATCTGGTACCCAGTTTTCTTTGATCCAGGACTTGAACTGCTTCTGTAAAACAATGAGTGAAGAGATAGGAAGAGAGAGTTTGGGAGATTATTAGGATTTCCTTCCCAAGATGGTTTGTCATTGTTCACTTAATTCATTATTATTAGGACATCAAGAAAAAGAGCCACAGCTTGGAGAAAGAATCCATTAAAGATTATTTTTCTTCTAAGTTACTTCTAAGAAAACCATTTGTGCATGTACTAATGAATGGTGTGTAAACTAACTTACTATGCACTTTAGTGTGTTCAACTATGAGAATGTGTAGAACATGCATCAGACTGGCATAAACTGTTCTGCAAAATATGTTTCTGCTGTTATACCTGAAGGTGCAAAAACATACATGACACTCATTGGTGAAAAGCAATCAAAAGTATAAACATGGAGATATAAGACTGGCCATTAACAATCTACTTAAATGCATAAATATAGATCTTTACGCAAGGATAAGCACAGGAATCATAAGACAAATCTTTGTGGCACGTATTTGTGAGATAGTCAAGGTTAAGAATAAGAAGCAGAAAAAAACTTATCAGCACTAATTTTTGACTCTAATTATGGTTTAATATTTGCACAATACTAAAAACCCACTTTTAGATGGCCCGTCTTATCTCTATGTGTAGTCCCATTTTATAAAAAAAGGATTATCTCCTAAATTATGCATGTGTAGCTGAAATATAAAATTGGAATAATGTTCCATTAGTTAAATTTCATTTTCCTGAGGGCAGAAAGGGGCCAGATTGTAATTAATTCTTTATTTTTTCAAATGCCTGACTCAATTCTAAATTGTACTTACATTGTAGTTTTCAACTTATCAAAAAAGACAATACAAGACTTATTCCTCATTTTCTAATATCCATTTTTTGATTCTTAAAGGGATCAATCCCAAAATATAGAATATAGAATCCGAAACATGTTATTAGTTGTGTAAATCCTTCAATTATTGAGCTATAATACAGTGAACACCTCAGTGAACCAGTTATTGAAGAAATCATTGTGTTTTTTTCTTCACATCTCAACAGAGCATGTTTGGGATTTTCTTTCTATAAATAGGGTCATTGATGCTGAGAATTATTCCTTCAGCAATGTCTATGAAGCTCTATCTCAATGGAGCCATGAATTCTGTTGTGTGGAATCTGTAAAATGTAAACAAAATTGAAGTGGTTCTCACAATCCAAGAATTAACAATGGGAATCCATGAAAAGAGCACCTAATCCAAACACGGGTGGTCTGAGAAATCTTTTTGGAGGAAACCACATCCTACCTGGCACAAATGAAAGAGCAGAGCGTCGGTGTGCGTGCGTGCGTGTGTGTGTGTGTGTGTTCTGTACATGCATGCAGATGTACGTGTTTGCAAACAAGGACAGGAGTTAAAATGAGTTGTGGCAACACAAGAGAGAAAGTGCGTTTCATGAATTGACATAATGGGTCATAGGTATGTAATGGGTTATAAGAAAAGGAAAGAATGTGCAAAGCTCAGGGGGGAAAAGAAATATATACATTAAGGAAATAAAATTATTTTGCATGACACTTCTAAGGTGACTAAGTTCAAAAACAGATTTAGGTCTAGGTCTGATACAATGTGGAGTTCAAAGCAGCTAATCCTTTAGCCACAATTTTTTCTACTGTAGACAGTGTTGGGTTATGTCTTTGATGGGCCCTAGGCAGTTTGTATATGTGGCTTTTTTTTTCTTAAAAAAATAAAAGAAGAAAGAAAATACATTTTACAACTGCATTTAAGCAAAGAGCCATATATTAATATTATATGTTAGATAATTTTCTTTCATCTAAAAGTTCAGTTTTTTATTTTAAAATAAATTAAATCATTTTCATGGGCCTCCAAAAGTATCATGGGCACTCAGCTGGGTGCCTACTGGGCTTAATGGAAAAGTCAACCATGTCCTTAGCAGCAAACATATCATCATGGACTTTTGTATCCAGCTTTGGAAATCAAATTTTTCTCCCATGGGTTAATATGACAGATAAGGAAACAGTTTAAGAGTAATGTTATGTGATTTGCTCAGTCTCAAACAGTTAGTGTCATAACCAGAAATATAACTTGGGTCACCAGATTCCCTTTACACTGTTCTGAAATCTCCTACATAATTTAGTAATGAATAGATGTTACTATGATTAAAATTTACATGCTAATGTCCTTATCTAGGAGACATCCCAGCTAGCTTCCAGTTTGCTGAACACAGATAAGACAGACCCACTGGGAGTTGGAAGCGTATGAACTACAGACCATGAATGTACTTAGACACACAAAATAAGGGTCCAAGAAAAGAATACTAGTTCAAAACATTTAAAAATGTGTGGGATATCTAAATTCCACAGATTGCTTTGATTGCAAACATATCATTGATATGTTGAATTTTAAGTATAAATTTGCTATTCAAATGCCCTTGAGAATAAAGATTCAATAGCTATTTTTTTTTCTTTTTTTAAGAATTGTGCCAGTGGAAGGAAAGCTTGAATGGGTTAAAGTCGTAAATTAGTTGATAAAAAGATATTTTAAAAATTACCTTTAAAAGTGTGGACACATTAAGTGGTTTCTTCTCCAACACTCATTACATTCACACCCTGACCCTAACCCTACCATTATCATCCCCTGCTACTACTCTTGCAATTCCAACTAAATCACAGTTTGCAGTTTTTCATGCAGTAGGTTTTATGACCACCCACTTTAACAAATTTTGGTTTTTGTGTATGTATGTCTGACTTTTTTTGTAGTGCACACTACTGGTGAAATCATTACTTTTAAATATGTTTAACCATTAGAAAGTACTAGAGTTCATAAGTCTGATTCAGTGAATAATTTGGTGCACAAATCCAGTATAATACTAAACTAATCACTACAACAAAAATTCACACTTATTAAAGGCAGTGAAATTTGTAAGCTTTCAGACATTACAAGAGATTATACATTAGTCCTTGCACCAATTATATATTTGATCTATATTCAGTCACAATTACTGTGGGAACCAGAGAGATTTATCATTTCAGCAAGTATTTAGTGGGCTAAGATCACTGCCAGAAACAAAGCAGTACATCTAAATTCTGGACCATTAAGCCACAATCTGTAAACTGCCATTCATTCAGTTTAATTGCAAAATAGTAGGTCAAGCAGAGTGCTGCTCAGCATTTCCTGTCTTCCTTGGATAGCTGGTATACCTTTTGTGTATACCCGCTCTGTGTTTAAATGATATTTCCTGAATTTGTGCATGGTGATACTTACTACGTGATGTTACAGCACTTTTTACCTATTTCCCCAATTAGACATTCTGCAACTTGGGAAAATGTATTATTGCATTGCATTGCATGTGTGTGTATATGTGTATATGTGTATGTTCCCTTAATGACCTTTAATGGACTGAGTTAATCAAAGAAAAAATTTCTTTTTGAGTTTATTTTAACTTACTCTCCTGTCTCCTACCACAATCTAGGAATGTGCAGTAGTAGATGCTAGAGATAAGAAGATGGGAAAGAGATTAAGGAAAAAATAGTTTATTTAGAGTGAGTCTTCTCACTTTCTTACTCCCCTAACTCAGCTATGGAATAAAAATATGGAGTCATAAGGGAAGAATATGTCTCAAGGCCTAATTTTCTAGAATACATGCTTCCTGAATACATTCGCTATCCTGATTTCTTTTCTAAAATGTTTATTCACCTTTTTCAAGACAATCTATTGATCATTTTAATAACTTATCTTGGGATTACAGTGGCTTTGTCTGATAATGAAACTCTAAAAACTAGAAGATTTCAATTTTTTAAATAAGAGGAATCAGACAGCCACTAGGGTAGAAGTGAAACAGCTGTGATATATCAAGAGGAACAAAGAACACAACATGATAAGGAAGTACAAGTCTCTGTATAACTACTGGTGTCAGTTTCTGCCTTCATCAGCTTTAGTTGTAAAGACCATTCAATTCAATCTGCACATTTTCTCTTTGGAGTCTAACACAATCCAAACAGGTACTATATATGTAGAATATAAAGAATAAAAAACACTTCCCAACACATTTTATGTATGTATCATTACTCTGACACCAAAACGATAAAACATTACAAAGAGGAGAATATCAACAACAAAACAAAATTGAAAAACAACCTTTGTGAAGACAGATACACAAATCTTCACCAAAATATTAGCAAGTGGAAGCAATATGTAAAACATATAATACATCATGACTTCACCTTAGTATAATGTTGGCTCAACATTCAAATGCCAATCATTGTTGTAACTGTCATATCAACAGATTTTTTAAAACTATGACCATTTCAATAGATGAAGAAAAAACATTAGACAAAATCTGACATCCTTCATGATAAAAATTCTCCATAAAGTATGACTGAAACTAACTTCCTCAAGTCTTATATAGCAGACCCATAAAATCCTACAACTAGCATACTTGCTGGAAAAAAAAAATGCTAACGTTTCCCCCGTATATTCCGGAACAAAGTGTAGATAAGATACCTACTTTTACCACTTGTATTCAACTTTAAACTGGTTGTCCTAGCCAAAGCAGTGAGGCAAAGAAAAAAGAAATGGAAATCATACATATTGAAAAGGAAAAAATAAAACTGTGTCTATTTGCAAATGGCATGATCCTGAACATGGAACATCCCAGAGAAGTTACATTAAAAGCTACCAATCTAATCAATGAGTCCAGTAAGTTGACAAGAATATACGATCAAACAAAACAATTAAAGTTTTACATAAAAACAATTAATACTTCTAGATTGAAATAAAAATAAAAATTAAAAATGTCTGGCATGTGGCTCACTCCTGTATTCGAAACCCTTTGGGAGGCAGAGGCAGGAGGACTACTTGAGGCCAGGAGTTCAAGACCAGCCTGTGCAACATAGTGAGACCCCATATCTACAAAAAAATTTAAAAATTAGCCACATGTAGTGGCACAGGCCTGTAGTAGCTACTCTGGAGATTGATGTGGGAGGATTGCTTGAGCCCAGAAGTTCACAACTGCAGTGAGCTATAATCATGTAATTGCCCTCCAGCCTGGGTGACGAAGCAAAATTCTGTCTCTAAAAATACAATACAATAAAAAAAATTTACCAATGTGCAATAAAATTGGGTAGAAATTAAACAAAATATATGCAAGATCACTACGCTGAAACTTTTGTCTTTTGTAATTGGTAAAGATTTCTTTGAGATGATACCTAAATCATGACACATAAAAGAAAAAAACTGACAAATTGCATTTGATGAAAATTAAAAGCAAAAGTCTCTTCAAAGACACAATAAAATGAAAGATAAGTTAGAAACTCTTGGCTGGGCACGATGGCTCACACCTGTAATCCCAGCACTTTGGGAGGCTGAGGCCGGCAGATCACCTGAAGTCAGGAGTTCAAGACCAGCCTAACCAACACGGTGAAACCCCATATCTACTAAAAAATACAAAAATTAGCTGGGCGTGGTGGCAGGTGCCTTAATCCCAGCTACTTGGGAGGCAGGGGCAGAAGAATCGTTTGAAGCCGGGAGGCGGAGGTTGCAGTGAGCCGAGGTCAAGCCATTGCAGTCAAACCTGGGGAACAAGAGCAAGATGTCTCTAAAAAAAAAAAAAAAAAAAAAAAACAAAAACAAACAAACAAACAAAAGAAAGTCAAAAACTCTTAGAAAATAATTGAAAATGTGTCTCTGATAAAGTCTTTTTTCATACTGTATAAAGAATTGCCAAATCTCCATAAATGAAAACAAATAACCCAATTGAAAACAGGCAAAGAACTTGAACAGACATCTTTAGCAAAGAAAATATATAGATGGAAAATAAGCATATAAAGACTTGCTCAACATCATTCATCCGTATGGAACAAAAATTTGAAAATGAAGACCGCAATGCACACCACTACATTAAATTAAAATAGCTAAAATAACATTTTAAGAAGACATTACCAAGTGTTGGAAAGGATATAGAGCAGGGATATAGTATAGGTCTATGACCTGTTAGGAACCGGGCCACACAGCAGGAGGTGAGGAGCCTGTGACCAAGCATTAGCACCTGAGTTGCACCTCCTGTCAGATCCAATCAGCAGTAGAGGGAGGGGGGATTAGCTTCTCATAGGAGTAGGAACTTTATTATGAACTGCACAGGCAAGGGATCCAGTTTGCACACTCCTTATGAGAATCTCATGGCTGATTGCCTGACAATCTGAGGTGGAACAGTCATCCTGAAATGATTCCCCCAACACCTCCTCCCATCCATAGAAAAACTGTCTTCCACGAAGTGGGTCGTTGGCACCAAAAAGGTTGGAGACCACTGATATAGAGTAATTGAAACTTCCATACCTTGCTGGTGGGAATGCAAAATATCATAGACACTTTAGAAAACAAATTTGTGGTTCTTAAGATGTTACATATGTACTAATCATTTGATACAATATTCCTACCCTAGGTACTTGTTGAGGAAAAATAAGAAAATTTGTTCACATAAAACTTTTTACAAATGATTATATCTTCTTTATTTATAATCATCAATCGGGAACAACCCAAATGTCCTCAAATGGGTGAATGGGTAAACAAACTTTGGTGCATCCATACAATGACATACTACTTATTAATGTAATGGAATCAACAATTGACACATGGATGAATCAATTGACACACGGATGAATCTCAAATGCTTTATGCTAAATAGAATAAGCCAGCCTCAAAATCATATACAATGTATGATTTTATTTATATGACATTCTTGCAAAAGCAAAAGTATAGGGATACAAGAGAGATCGGTGATGGTTAATGTCTAGTCACCACAAAGTGACAAGAGGTAACTCCCTGGGGAGATGGAAATGTTCTCCATGTTGACTACAGTGGTAGTTATAAAACTGTAGGCATTTATCAAAATTCATAGAACTTTACCCTAGAAAGGATGAATTTTACTATCTGTAAATTTTACTTCCCTGCAAATGGCCCAAAGTTGCATGAAATGATGCTCAGCATCACTAATCAGGGAAATACAAATCAAAATCACAATGAGCTATCATCTAACACCTGCTAAGATGACTATTACAGGCCTGGCGCAGTGGCTCACACCTGTAATCCCAGCACTTTGGGAGGTCAAGGTGGGTGGATCACTTGAGGTCAGGAGTTCGAGACCAGCTTGGCCAACAGGGTGAAAGCTTGTCTCTACTAAAAATACAAAAATTAGCCAGGCATGGTGGCATGTCCCTGTAATCCCAGCTACTTGAGAGGCTGAGGCAGGAGAATCGCTTCAACCTGGGAGGTGGAGGTTGCAGTGAGCCGAGATCACACCACTGCACTCCAGCCTGGGTGACAGAATGAGACTCTGTCTCCAAAAACAAAGAACAAACAAACAAAAAAAAGATGGCTTTTATTTAAAAGGATGAATGCAATGTATAAAAAAGATTTTTACCTTCATCGTATTTTTGTTATCAAATATTATTTTAATAATTGAAAACGTTTAAACGTTTAAGAGTATGTAATTTTATGAATTACACAGGAAGCAAAACTTACTACATATCCATTATATATCTAAATATGCAGCATCCAGAAAAAAGCATTCATTTAAAAATGTTATTTAGATCAATGGTTTCTTTATTCTACTCTGAGACATTGGCGTTTCAAATAAAAAGATGCCCTAAATTGAATGTTCCATTTTGTTTCCTGTTATTCTTTGATTCTAGCTAGTTATCAGTTGTCAAAACAACAGACTAAGCCTAACACCTAACACCATGTCAAATATATATTTTTTTAATCTCTATAACCTCATCAGAACTTTATTTCCTCAGCTTGGCCTGGACACCCTCAGCTTCAGCAAACAGGGAGTCAGTGCAACAGTGCATAAAATATGAGGGCTCTGAAAGCCTGGGCCTGCTTAGGGGAGTGTGTAATTTAATAAAGTGTTCATTGATGTCAGCACACGGGCTCATCAGACTCATGTTGATGCCGACGCCTGCAGCACAGAGACTCCTAGTCCTAATTAGATGACTGAAGTAAGATTACATTTTCCCTTGGAGACAGGCACAAGGGTGGGAGAGTTACTCTCAAAGGGATTTAGACTTACAAGTATATGATGGAACAGAACAAAAATAGGGAAAGGCACACTTTAGGGAAACCAACGAGGGAAATGAACTTAACAGAGTCGCATTATTTATAAGAAGGAAAGTTAAAAAAACCACCGTCAGGTGTCTGTTGTTCCTACTTTATTCACACAGAAAGTCTGACATAAATTATAAATAAGGAAAAATATTTTTATGACTTATACGCTAAGCTTACAACAATCCCTGGCAAATCCCAGAGAAATTTTAGCAATATGACTTAGAATTTTAAGTATTATATTATACACTTTATTGTCTAGGGATGTCCGTTAGTTTTTTATGACTTTTAAAATTCTATCTGAAAAGGTCAAATTAATGATTTCTCAAAAAATTAAATTATGTATTACTCACAGAGCAAGGACATTTTGTCTCAGATCACACAATGAAAGTTTTGTCATAATGAGGAAAAAGCAAATATGTACCATTTTTGTGAGTGTTTCATTAATATTTTAAATGTTTTATCTCCTAGCCTAATATAAATAGGAGAGATTATCTGGTGATTAAACATTATTAACTAAGTATTGCTATATAGATAATTCTATATTTTAAAGCAGGCCCTCTATTTTTTGTTTAATTTGACAGCATCAACCTAGCCATTTTGACCTTCCTGACAATGTTCAAATCCTCATTCTTTGCTACTGAAATATCCTTGGCTAGAAATATTAATCTTCGGAGGAAAAACACTAGTGTATGTAAGATAATATTTCATATTTTTAAACAGTAGTATAGCCATGTTCTTATATTAAAAAAAGATTGCCGACAGAATTATCCCATTTTAAACCACTGGTAATGAGACAGAATATGGAGCAGTAACAGTTTCTGTTGGCAAATCGAGTCATCTTCTATGACTTTTCTTATTCTATTTGTCAACACACGTGTTGTTTCTTAGTGGCTTAATTTATTTACATTTTGAATGTTTTTTTTTATTATTATTTTGAGATGGAGTCTCACTCTGTCACCAAGCTGGAGTGTAGTGGCGCGATCTTGGCTCACTGCAACCTCTGGCTCCTGGGTTCAAGCGATTCTCCTGACTCAGCCTCCCGAGTAACTGGGACTAGAGGTGCGCACCACCACGCCCAGCTAATTTTTGTATTTTTAGTAGAGACGGGGTTTCACCATGTTGGCCAGGATGGTCTCAATCTCTTGACCTCATGATCCGCCCGTCTCGACCTCCCAAAGTGCCAGAATTACAGGCGTGAGCCACCGCACCTGGCCTACATTCTGAATGTTTTAACAAAAGGTTTCAAAATATAAAGTAGTAGTAAAAATTACATTATCCTAATGTTTCAGTGAAAACACATTTAAAAATTTTTAATCATCCCATCACTTAATTAATTTGTTTAATGAACAATTGTTTAATACTTCACATGAACCAGATACTTTGCTATATAATGAGGATATAATGGCACAAGAGCACTGGTTTAAAGAAAGCTTAAATTTCGTCAGGGTGAAATAGATATCTTAGCAATATAAAATGAATAAGCTGCAATTTCAAAGTTATTAAAATGTGTACATTGAAAAATTTCCCATAACACATTATGCATAGCTGCACCCCAATTAACTTAACATTATTCTTTGAGCTGGAGGCTTTGGATATAAAGCTCCAAGGGTGTGGATAGAATTAGAATAAAGGTGTGATTATATAGTTCTGAGTTTCAAATTGTATTTTCTTCAGTGGATTTGCAGAATCAGTGCTTGAAAATCACTAATTGTTGAATTTTTAAAGCTTTACTCAAAACCTCAGTATGGACAAAACTAAGAATAAAATGTAGGAGAATTCCCATCCCACTGGGAAGGGGGAAACCATTACGGATTCTGAAGAATGGCTCTCAGGGAAATAAATAGAATGCAGATCATCAAAGAGGGTCAAGCTATTGAGTCCTGGTTGATTTTTTCCCCTTCCATGCCTCTAGTCAACATCCTTGAGGCTTGGTGGAACGATAGTTGGGGGGAGGTTAGAAGAAGCACAGGCTGCGTGGAAAGTAAGAAATGGTTGATGAAACTGTCTAGGTAAATGAGTAAGAGGACAACCTCACAGAGCTCCACACAATCCAGTGTGCGCTGAAGATGTGACTCAGAGTAACAGAACACAATTTGGAAGGGAGGGAGGAAAAGACAAGAAACCTTGGACAACAGACTTCAGCAGGAGATTATGACAGGACACTATGAGAATATGTTAAGACAACCACACTGCATCAGATGCCAGCACAACTCTGAAAGTGTCTATCAAAATGAACGCTTCTTAAATGATTACAGTATAAGTGTATTGAAGGACTAGCTACTGTACAACAGAGACCCAGAGGAATTCAGGAGATTGTGTGTCCACCAGTGCAAGGCTGTGCAAGTTTCCCCACAATGTTTTGATTTCTGCTCTTTCTTCTTAGATCTCTCCTATACCTTTTCCGGCCTGGCTGGAGTCATCCTCACAACTGCTGATACTCTCCTAATTCCCCACTAGCTGGCTTCGCATCGATGATCAGGCACCCGTCAGAATGACTAATCGTGCTGCTCACTGCCTGTCGGATGTTCATCCAAGTCTTCCCCTGCCATTCACAGAATTCACGCTACAGCATCTGGTCACCATTACAACGTGCAAGCCAAGGTACGGAGTAGAAGAGCAGGGAGGGAAACGCGGTAAAAGTCACTCCCTCGCATATGGCAAGGAGGCCCTGGGCCCAGAAACGCTCCATATTATTACGCATACAGGAGAGGTATTTAGCTAGTTGATCATTGTTTGGAGGGCCTAATTTTATCCTGAGACAGTTCTGCAAAATAAACTTTCTTATGTTGCCAATTATTCCATGACAACTGCTTAGCAATGTACCTTCACAAATGCTAAATTAATTTTTAAAATATTGTGAAGTAGATTCCTAATGACATAAACGGGAAAATGAGGCAAAGAATCCTAAACATACATGTGTTGGACTGTAGAAAAGAACATTAAATAGCTTCTTAAATATAAACTTAATTTTTAATCTTAGTTACAATATTTTAGAGTACATTTAAAAATTGTATTGACTAGGATTATCTTTATTTTTGCTTCCATTATGCTAATTGTATTTGATTAAATTTAGAGAGATTTAAATATTAATGTGTTTTTTTCATATTATAAATATGAATGTTTGGCCTCTATTTCAAAATACACATGAATAAAACATTAGGTTTCCTCTGAATGGCAATGTTAAACTGCTCTACCGAATGGAATTATGATCTGTGAATATAGAGATTATATATTGATTTAATTTATTTCTGGTGAAATCTTCATACTAACATCAATAAATATTTCCTGGCAATATTCTCATCCTTGGCATTTTATTGTTCTCAGTTCAAATCCTCAAGAAGATTTTAAATGCCTTGTACCTATGTGCACTGAGGGGATAGGGAAGACAGTTTGGAGATGTGAAGAAGTTAGAAAAATGTAAACAGGTTAGGGCTGGAGAAAGTGGGGAAGCTGCACCTTTAACTGATGTCCTCCTAAGACTGTAACAATTGCTCCTTTGCAGTCACTGAAGGCTACAAGGTACAATATGTAGTGAGGCTCAGCAATCAGTATTTAGTAAAAGAAAACAGAAAAAGAACAATATCCCTCTTTAGTACCATCATTTGCTGAGTGGCTATTACACGCCAAACACATTTATGCATAGCTTAAACATTGTTTCTCATCTTATATTATTTGTTGCTCCAGGAAAGGACTATTTATTCCTTACCTTTTTATACCCAGCATTTAGCACAGATCCCTGTAGAGACAGTTGCTCAGTAAGTTCCTGGAAAATAATATATTGTTATTCTTCCCTCACGGGGTGCCCATGACTAGGCCATATTAAGTATCCACCCCTTTAATTGATACACCAAACAATGCTGATGAATTAAGTAATGTGATTAACATAATATAGCTTGTAACTGGTTAAACCGGGATTTTTTAAAGTCTTGGCCTGATGTGGGGGCTCCATGGCTGTAACCCTAACAATTTGGGAGGTGAGAGGATCGCTTGACACCAAGAGTTTGAGACCAGCCTGGACAACACAGGGAGACTCTATCTCTATTAAAAAATAAAATTAAAATTAAAAAAAGAAAAGTCTTTCTCTGTCTCCCTTATTATGTTGTCTTCAAACAATAGACTGTTCATAACTTGTAAAATATCGAAAAATATAGTTATAGTGAGAGAATAAAATAGGATTATTAGAAAAATTGTTAAACAAGTTTTGTCTCCTATTTTCAGAGTAGATTTTTGTTAACAATGAACTTTTAAGAGGGTCCCCCACCAATGGTCCCTTCCTCCTGGTATGCAAACCCTATGTGATCCCATCTTCTTGCATGCGCACCGATCTAGTAACTTGCTGCTAACCGACATAATTCAGCAAAGGTGAAGAGATACATTCCCATGATTCAGTTACAAAAGATGGCAACTTACATCTTGCTAGGAGACTCTCTATTGCCTTCTCAGCTTGCATGCTTTGATGCACAAGCCACCATGTTGAAGAGGATCATGGAGTCAAGAACTGACTGTGGCTGAAGGCCAATAGCCATCAAGAAACTGAGGACCTCAGTCCAACGACCCATAGAAACAGGAACCTGCCAACAACCACCCATTGAGCAACACCTCAGATGAAACCTTAATTGCAACCGGCAAGAAATCTTAAAGCAGTGGATCCAAGCAAAGCCTGCCTGCATTCCTGACCTACAGAACTTGTGAGATAATGGATGTAGGTTGTTTTAAAGAGCTAAATTTTGTGATAGTACGTTACACATTAATAGGAACCTAACACAATAACAATCAAACAAATTAATAAGAATTCAATATCATAGATATCTTTTTCTTTTAATAAGAATTAGATATTCTACATTTTAGCAAAAGGTATCAGTTGCTTATGATCATATGTGTGTGAAGGGACAAAGTGTCTTAGTGGCCCACTGGAAGTAAGAATAGTTCCCTGAACTACAATAAATGCCATAATCAGTGTGGTTTCAATTGCAATATGATATTCCAAAAAGGACATTTCATAAAGTTTTACAATTTTGTTTTGGTGAAAAATTTATTGCTTATCACCTTATCTCACAGATATACTTCTTTTCTGCATATTTACGACTGTGAATATAGAAAATGTATTTCAACTGACAGTACGGTTGAATTAAAAATAGTTTACTCAGTGTCACAAAATAATGGAGGTTATCCAATTGAGAAACCTCAATAATTGATCAATGCGTTAATGGTACACATTAATGCTTTTTGTATTTCTTTATTATTGGGGGTAAAACTACAGAAACACACTTGCCATTAGAAAGTCAGAAGTCAACTGAGAAAAGCTCTCAGGTTTATATACATAATTCTTATGGCAAAAATAACTTTTGGAGGAGTTATTTGTTTCATTTGTTCACATTTACTGGTGTGCTCCTATTTAATCAATACAGTAAGATTGATTAATAGACATAAATGGAACTTTTGAAATGTAAGGCAGTTTTTCAATCTATCATAAAATATTTGTGGTAATCAGAGCCCCTGATGGAATATTACTATTGTATTTTCAATTTTTTAAAAGATGACTAGACTTCTTCTCAAGATTGTGCAGTATGCTATTTGCAACACATTGAGGACACAGCCCTCTGAGAGATGTAATCCAAACCGACTGCTTCAGAAACATACTAGTAACTGATTTGAGTGTCATTGTCATTATCTAGGATAATTCTAGAGTACTTCCATATAGAAAAAAATGTTAAATAATGCAATATAGTGATTTTCATTCCATTCCTACTGAAGGTACCTCTTTCTTAAGAGAAAAAAAAAATGGATAACTGAAGTGCAAATCAGCCATAGGGAATATGTGGAGAGTATCAGCACTGCCTGTAGCTATTTAATGTTTTGTTCAAATATAGTTGTGGTGAGTAAAAGTACCTTTTAAAAACTCAGGAAAAACAATGCATACGTATTCTCTGCTGTTAATATATCTATGAGCAAGAATAAATAACACGTGGTTACATAAGACTCATTTTCATGCTTTTACAGCCTTCCTAGAAAAAGAGGAAGACTACGTCGTCTTTATTTTCTATGTGTTCTCTTTCTTTCCTGTGTAATAGTTTTCACATTTTCCTTCATTGTTTTCACTGTATTTTTCTGCTATTGTTTGGCTTGCAAGCATCCTCTTTGCTGGGAAAAAAAAAAAAAAAAAAAGGAAATGACAGCTTTTATTTACCGTAAAAGTGAAAGAATGTCCTTGGAAGTATTTGGGGCAGCTGGAGAAGAGTCTCAGAAGTACAAATGGGGACAATGTTGCTACCTAGGACACTGTGGCAATTGCCTCAAGCTTTAAATAAACTTCGAGGCACATGAATTAATGGTCACTGAAGAATGAGTTTCTCATGAACATATATTCTGTGGTACGGATAAAATATTTTCCCTAGTTTTTGTATAGAAAGGGCTTTTTCGAACTGGGTATTTATTGCTCCCTTACCCCACTAAAAACACCTTCTATATTTCTATTTATTTATTCAATATTCTATGTTCTATGTATTTATTCAATAAATAAATGTTGAATGAAGCATTCATTTAAGAATGGGACAAGGACAAATTCGACTTTGCATCTGAAGAATTACCTATTCAGAGAGATACCCAAACATCAAAACCAAGAGTTCATTTTGTGAGTTAAAAATGTGCATTCCGGAACAGTATAACTAAGTCAAAGCAGACAGATAAAGAACATAGTCTGATAATAATGTTGATAAAGGTGCTTCCTGGTTCTATTTTATGGTCAGTGTCATTACATATCTATAATGCAATCATGATGGATCCAAAAATGTTAAAACAATAATTACTCTCTATTGATAGGAAAAACTCTGTAAGTTCTACGGATAGGCTATATCCTTGCAATGAACATTTATGAAGTAGAAAAATGCAAACAAGTATGGATAATGTTATGCTTGAATAATGGAATCTGGCATTACACAGCACACAATATATTCCTTAATTCCTTCTAAAACCATACATAAATAGAAACATATCTCCAGAGCTTGCACCCTTTCAGTGTTATCCATGCTCCCTCCTGATCCAATGTTACAGAATTTGGAAAACACTAATTGGGTGCAGATTTCACTGTAATTGATGATGTGCATATTAAATAATAGCAGGCTGATAAATTAAGTATTTGAGGAAATGACTAGCATGACATTGCAGAAGCCAATAAAATGGGTCAGGGATGAACGTCTCCATTTTTTTCTCTGTCACTGCCTTTTACAAATTCTCATTGTTGGGGCCACCATCAGATGAAGACAGAATTTAGTTTTGGTTTCCAGACCGAGTAAACAGAACCAGTGACAATTATTAGCGTCCTCATGACTGCAATAATTATCTTTGCCAACTAGATTAAAATTTGATATTTGGGAGTATTTTATATGTACCCATGTAAACTGGGGCATAGTACAAGACTCATGTTTATGTCGCATTTGCTTCTTCATTTTGCCATCTAATTATTCTGTGAAAATCCAAGGCGGCAGGACTTATTTTTTGTGTGGTTCTCTCCTGTACTCCTATTGGTCAGAGCAGTAGCAGATGACGATGTACAGGCTCTGGTTTTACCCATTGTGCCATCTTCAGCTGCAGGAGTCAAGCACCAGGAGCATCTACATATTCTGTTGTCTCTGGTGAGTGTGGCCACCTCCCCAACAAGTAGACATCCACTCTCAACTATGCTTTCTTCTCAACTTGCCCACATTACCCACAATCCATGATAATACTGTTCTCGCCTGTTTCTCCAAACTCCTTTCTCACTGATTTCTCTTGATCAAGTATCATCTGGCACAATAGCCTCCATTCATTTTTACCAAAACACCAAGCTCATTTCTGCATCAGAATTTTTGCACTTGCTGTTCCTTTTGCATGGAAATCTCTTCTGCTCACTTTTCACATATTTCAAATATTTTATATTTCTGTTCGCATTTTTCAGTTCTCAAATATCACCTCGTTGACACTAAAAACTGACCTTCAAAGACATTCTTGATCAGTTTATCTTGTTTATTTTATTCACGTTATCACAATGTGATTTTTATAGTATTTAACTGTTAATCATCTGTCACTGAAATACATTCTACATGAGTACAGGAAACTAGTTTTGATTGTTCCCTTGGGAGCCACACTGCACAGAACAGTGCTTAGTATATTGTAGGTATGGAAAAAACGGAACAAAACAGATAATATGTGAATGACTTCAATTCTTTCTAAGACTATGGAGCTTCCCTATAAACTCCTACATCTTTCATGGATGGTTTTTGCTCTCTGAAGCCTGAAGTGTTGGTGAATATAATTCCCAAATAATACCAACAGAGCTCTCTAACCTTCACTTAATTTCCAGGTACCATAGGATTCTTACTGCCATGCCTACTTATTAGACTGGCCCTCTTCATAGAAATTAAATCATATATGCAATTCAACAAAGTGACCAAAGCTGAGCACAGCATATATTTTGGAAATTCTGCCTTGAGGCATGAGGAGGTCCTTACTGTGATCAACCTTAGTAGGTGTTCATTTCCCAGATCCCTTGGCAATTAGAAGTTGTGAGCCTGACCATAGTGTTTTAGTGTTTTTCATTTATCCCTTCTCATTGCCAAGGTGTTAGCATGTCTTGTGTTTTAATTACCCCAAATCATATAAATTATAGCCATATTCTTTTTATGGAATGTTGACTGTAATTATTTTGTTTATGTTCTTTAAAAAAAGTATATATTTCATTGCATTACATAAATTTAGTTCTTTCAGAAAGTTAAAAAAAAAAAGAAAGAGGAAGGTGTATGCAAAATAATTTTTAGGAAGAGGTATCTAGCCTTGGCAAACAAAGTAAACTTCCATTTTCTCATTTTTCTGTTGCAAAGACAAAGTAATATTTAAATGTTCATTAATTAAGGAACTAAGTGAATAACTTCTGCATTTCCCAAGGCTCACAAGAACCAGAAATTTGTTTTTTCCGCAACGAATTTGGATTATGGTTAACACTGTAATTTTTAAAGAATTTTTACATTGTAGGAAAGAACACTGAATATAGATTCTACACTTGGGGGTCGGATTTAGGTTAAAAGGTAAAAAAAGGAATGAAGGCATAAAATATATAGAAAAATGAATGGTAGAAATAAATGGCAGCATTGATAAATGTGAATAAAGCTCATACAAAGAAAAGGCTATTAGTAGATTGCAATTTTTTTTTTCAAAATCTGCACATACCTCATACTTTCTATATTTAAAAAAAGAATTCTACAATCAATTGTTCTTGTTCTGTGAGTACTTGGACATGAGGCAAAATAAAACTTATTCTCCAGAATAAACATTCTCAGGCACTCAGATGCTTTCATTGATTCCAGATAAGTAGGAGTATCAAATTCATATTTCTATTAGACCACTGGACTAAGGCCAAAGTCTTGTGTTTATCAATTTGTATGTCAGCTAAGTTCACTCTGTGGCATGACCATAAATTATACTGGTCCTCAGAGTGCATATACTATTTTTCCTCTAGCAGTTATCTTATCAATATATCTTTTTTAAAAAAATTCAAGGACATTTAAGCGAGAAGTAATTTTAGAAAAGCACAAATCTCTCATTGTTATAATTCCATTGAATTTAACACCTCATCTTTTGAAAACACATATTCCTTCAGTCAAAAATCTTTGCATCAGTTATTACGAAAGGGAATGGTCAATCCAGCCCCTTGCAGGTGCATCAAGCTGTATTCAAAATGAGTATATATCAGAGTTTATCAAGAGTGGCACTCTTGAGACTTTGGACTAGACAATTCTTTGTTAGGGAGGTGAATCTTGTGCATTGTAGGATGGTTAGCAGCATCCCCAGCCTCTACCTACACCATGCCAGTAGCAATGCACCCCTCCTGCTTTTGCCCCGATCACGGCAGACAAAAAAATGTCTCCAGATACTGCCAAATACTATCTGGAGGGAAGGGAGAAAAATTACCCCAAATGGAGAACCACGAAATTGTAATATTACCTAGAATATTTGTATTGAGATCAATAAGATAAGAACCAAAAGCAAACTTTAAACAAAATGTAGAAGTAGGACCTGGCTGAAGTCTGGAGTAGGCATTAAGCATACTGATCATTAGTAAAATTTGCTGATAAAATTAGTTGACTATTTGAAAAAGAATTGGCTCCTCATAGCCTATGCATGCCAATATAAATTCTAAATGACTTTAAGAGCAAATGTAAAAGTAATACTATTTTTTAAAAAGCTCTAAGAAAATACCATTTAATATTTATTAGATCTTAGGATAAAAACAGAACAAAAGAATAAAGAAATATCTGACCACAAATTAATGGAAGATGTAACAAAGGAATAATCAAACAGCTGCTTCTAACTCTTCATTTGTTCCTCTTTAGGATTACATATCCATGCTCCTTTGCTATGTGCCTCCCAGAGGCCTCCCTGCAGAAGAGATGATACCCACCTCCCCGCCTGATGCACTTGGATCACTTTGTCATTATCAATATAACCGTAAACCCAATTGGTCATCTTGTGAAGGGGTTGTTTACAAAGCCATACGGTTTTAGAATTGTAAGGAATCTTAGCAATCAGTCTGTTCCCCACCCTCTATTTTACATATCAGTGTCAAAAATGTTATGTGATTTTATCTGTATCATGTGCAATGGCTAAAAGGGTAGTTAACACTCCTCAATTCAAGAGTGTCCAATTTCAATGTGTGTTTGGTTAGGGGTTCATTTTTTGGTTTTCAGAATTTTTTCACTGTTAAATGTGAAATATGAGGTAGTTCATCATCTGTTCAGAAATCCACTCAAAGAATGGACCATTATTATTAGCATAATTATGGATAAAACTGATGTAAAATCATTTAACATGGATTTGATTGCAAAATTTCTGAGTCTCTGGAAACTGCACTCTCATGAATATGACTGAAGGATAACTTGTTACGAAGCAAAAGTTGAAATCATTTGAAGAGACAACGCTGTTGCAGAGTAAATCATGTAAAGGTGATTGCTGAGTGTTTCATTGCCATTTGTTTTTTAAATCCTTTCAATTAACAAGATGTTTACTTAATAATTTAAATATTACTCTTAAAACTCATGTGATTATTCTACAGCCTTGCACAAATATTAAGTGGATAAGCATGAAGCCTTTTTCTTTTCTGTACTTTCTATTTTTGTTAAAGTTCTACATGTGTATCAGCTATTCCTTTTAAACGCTGGCTCCTTAATTTTATCTGACATAGAGATTTCAAACAAGTACTGGTTCTAGCCAACTGATTAAGCGAATAGTCCAGTAACTGGCGCTGGTCACTTTAAAGAATCATAAAGAGGAAAAAGTTATATTGTGTAATTATCTAAATAATGCTTAAACTCTCCACAACAGTGTAATCAAATGTTTATACATAATCATGAAACTCCTTTGTTTAATTTGACTTCCTGGTCTTTGTTTAATTTGACTTCCTGGTCTTTGTAGAGCTTATTTTATACTGGTATTAAATGACATATTAAGAAGCACCTAGAGGCATTGTATATTATTTAATTTTGAATTTTTTACAAACTGCAAAGGCATCTATGTCAAACATCTGATTTTAATAATTATTTTAATTGTTTTAATGTGTTCTATAGTATCATTGAGTCATATACTAAAGTAGTCAATCATAAAACAGCCATGACACTCCTTTCTTCTCTCCTATTTCTCTACTTTTGAAATGGTAATGTCTACCCTGTGCCTGTCCCACCACTGCACGTTGGAAGTACATAACATGTTTGATTCCACAGATGCATAATTGCAGAGCAATCTCCTTCAAGATGAATGGTACCTCTAGTCTCATCTATATCTGATTTAGATGATTTTTTTTTTTCTTTTGAGACGTAGTCTCACTCTGCCACCCAGGCTGGAGTGCAGTGGCGCAATCTCGGCTCACTGCAAGTTCCGCCTCCCGGGTTCACGCCATTCTCCTGCCTCAGCCTCCCAAGTAGCTGGGACTACAGGCACCCACCACCACGCCCAGCTAATTTTTTGTATTTTTAGTAGAGACGAGGTTTCACCGTGTTAGCCAGGATGGTCTCAATCTCCTGACCTCGTGATCTGCCCGCCTCGGCCTCACAAAGTGCTGGGATTACAGGCGTGAGCCACCGTGCCCGGCCTGATTTAGATGATATTTAGATTAGACATTGGACTTAGATTTTAAAGTTGATGCTGGAACGAGTTAAGATTTTCAAGGCTATGTGGTAAAACAAATGTATTTTGCCTGCACGAAGGACATGAATTTTGGAGGGCCAGATGCAAAATGCTGAATATTTATAAATATTAATTGTCTGAATATTTATGTTCCTAAAACATTCATATGTTGGAATCCTAACCCCCAAGATAATGATATTACAAGGAAGAGTCTAGGAGATGATTGGGTCATGATTGGGATTAGTACTCATAAAAGGGACCCCAGACCACTAGCTAACTCCCACTACTACGTGTGGTCACAAGGAGGAGGAGCTGTCTCTGTACCAGAAAGAGGGCCTCGCCGTATACTGACTCTGCTCTCCTTCATCTTGGAGTTTCCAGCCTTCAGAACCGTGAGAAATACATTTCTAATGTTTAAAAGCTACCCACTTTATGGTAGGTTGTCACTGTA
This sequence comes from Homo sapiens, assembly GCF_000001405.40. Lineage (NCBI taxonomy): Eukaryota > Metazoa > Chordata > Mammalia > Primates > Hominidae > Homo > Homo sapiens. Next base: position 24,619,978 of record NC_000005.10, read on the forward strand.
ACCAGAAGGGACTAAGAAAGTCACCATTGAGGTTTGTTCACAAAAAGAAATACCTTGTAGCAGTAAAATAAATGATATATATTTACACACATCAGAATAAATACTTCTGCAAAAATCTACCTTAAATTATCTCTTTTTTAGTTCTACCTTACTAACTTCAGCTCATAAAGCTCTTATCTCCTCACACGTTAATAGGCATAATATTTTTTATTAAACACATCAATAGTTTTTCTAAAGTCAACAACTTGTTTTCTGACGTCCTTTTGTGAGCTCAAAATGCAGTCATTATTTACATCTATTATAGTTTGACAAAACAATATACATTAAAAGAAGATTGCACATCTTTCTAAGATGTACATAAGCTCCCTCAATAATTACATCTCCAAATTGGTTGAGAAAAAAAATTATTAAAAAGCAGTTATTCATTTTTGTCTAAAATGAATCAGCCTTAATGATTAGTAAATTAAGATAAGACCTTGAATAATATATATAAAATGTGATTGCATCCTTTTTCTCTTCAAAATCTGGTTATTGAATAAAGAGAGATCTCTGAAAGTGAAAACAGACCTAAGCTCTGTGTCTGATTTAAAATCATACAAGTTAAACTATTTTTCCATATATATACTAAGGACAGTACATATACTTGTTAAAGTTGTACTTTTCTGGCCTTTATATATTGTTTAGAATTGCTTTGGGAAATCAACTTTGAATATGCCAGTTGTATACTACCACACTTATAGGGCAGAACAGGTTTTTTTTTCATCCTCTTCTCATTGCCCCTGTTTTGTTAAGCGGTGCCCATACCAGTCTGTATTCATATTAGACATAAAGAATGTTGACAGAAGAGGCACAAACAAAATAAACAAATCCCATAAAGCAGCAATCAATTTAGCTGACTGACTAGCTCTGGACAGCTTGTTTCAACTTTTGAAGGTTTATGGAAAACTCTTTTTAGTTCCATCTTATCGTCAAGGTCTAACTGCCAGCATAATATACAAGACACTTGGACCTATCAGCATTTGACTTAATATTTTGAGATTGAAACTGGGATATATCTGCCAGCATGCAGCAAATATTGGTAGGCCTGATGCAGTTTAATTCAGGAGGGAGCCTCCATCGGCTGTCTCCTCAAGGACATCAGAACTGCCAGGTCATGAGAGCCCTTAGTGTGCCTCTAAGAGCGCTCACTCTGCCTCTCACCTACAGTGCCAATGAGTGTCAGAGAAGCAGTGTGCACAAGGAGTCCCAAAGAAGAAACTGAGTCTCCCTGAGATCTCTGGGACTGGCTGCCATCTAGAAACCCCACAGAATCCCCATATCCATTTATTTATTCATGCATTTGACCAAGGCATATCTACTAAGAGGACACAGAGCTAAACAAATCAAACAACCTTCTCAGCCATAAAAAGCTCGCTTCCATTTTAGTGGAAAGATTCAGACAAGTACAATAAATAAGTAACACAGCAGAAACAAAACCAGCAAACTCACTGTCAGCAAGAAGCTTGATTTCACTGAGAGGATATCAACAATAACCACATGGAAAAAGTAAAATACAGAGTATATTGCATGTAATAAATGTTCAGAAAACACCAAAACAGGAAAATGGCATAGGCAATGTGGAGAGATTTCTATTTTAAATTGGAAAGTCTGGGGAAGCCTTCCTGAAAGAGTCATTTTGACTAAAGAACTGAAGGAAAAAAGAGAAAGCCTAGTTGATCTCTCTCTCTCTTTCTCATCTATATAGATAGATGGACATATTTATGTGTGTGTGCATGCACACATATATAATCCATTTATATGCACACATATAATTCATTTATATGCATTATATACATGATATACGTGTGTATACACACACACACAGATATAAACATCTTTCATGCATAAGGGACAGCAACAAATAAAGGCCCCACCCAAGGTAGAGACATGACGGAATGTTATATGACCAGCCTAAAACTAGTATGACTGGAGTGCTGTGAGTCCTGAGAGAACGAAAGAAGATGAGGTTAGAGAGGAAATGCAGATCCAAGTGCATTGGCTTCTTGCCAGCTCTTGCAACGTCTTTGGCTTTTACACCAAGAGAGACATTTGCACAGAAGACTAACACGATCTCATTTACTTGGGTTGAGAGAGATTGAGGTGCAGCAAGCACAGAAACAAGCAGACCTGCTTGAAGGCTACTCAATTCAGTTAGAACGAAGACTTCAGAAAATGTCAGCACAAACTCAAACTCACAAGTCACAGCTGACCTTTGACAAAACATATTAATTTGATGTGCGAATGTTGACAAAATTTTTCAGCTTCTAAATGTTATGGGAAAGAGTATGCATGATAAATCAAGAATATATCTGATCGCAATTTGGCTGTGAGAATTGGCAAGGAGGGAGAAGAAAGGGCCTGAGGGAAGAAGGGACATTTTCCTGGCTAGCCACAGCAAATTCATTAGCTCTGTTGATATTGAAGGATCAGTTTTAGCAGGCTGCAGAATTTGGAATGCATTAGCATGGATGAAAATTTGTAGATCAGATTACCTTATTCAGATCACTCTAGTGTTCTGATTAGAGAATGGATTACCATTCTAAAGCCCAGCCAGTTTTGACAGTGATAATCATGAGGCAGTTAAAATCTGCTAATATAAACTTTTGAATACAGACTCTAACTCCTCTTCAGGTCCCCAGGACTTAACAAAATCCTAGGACAGATGCGGTATTTATTGGTGGTGGTAGCAGGGAGGCTCTCAATATTCAAGAGACAGCAGGCATTACTTCATGTATTTTAATCACAAAGAAATAAAAGTATAGGTAGTTAGGGGAAACAACCCTCTAATGTCAGGTTTATATTTTACTCTCATATTTTTAAAAATAAAATCTTCACTTAGTATCATTCCGTTTTGTAAATTTTTAAAAAGTTAGAAATTATTTAATTTAATCCTTTTATTTTCAAGAGGATTCTGAGACCACATAACGTGATGTGACTCGCATATTTGACCTCAGTGGTAGCACTTTCTAGGGCACATAAAACTGTGAGACAGCTTCAAAAAGTGTTGTTCTTATAATGCCAATTGTAGGGAAAAGGGAGAAAATGCTATGCCTCCGCCAGAAATGAGAATTATTTCACATTTCCTTTGTGTCATGCAGGAAGAAGATATGACTGGGAACTAGAGCTACTGGATCAGAGCAGCCTCACAGCACTCATTCTGCAGCCAGTTCCAAGCCAGCAGTCCTGCAGATGCAGGGAAGCTAGTCAGGCACGCTCCTGGTGGGGGTACTAGTTTTATGTAACAGTCTTGAACAGCTGGAGAGCACAATGCTAACGACCACTTGAGCAGGAAAGTGTCTGATGATTGCATATAAAATATGACATGCAATGAGGAAAAAGGGTAATAACAATATATCACTGAACAAATGTACAGCGCCAGGCCAAAATGTGTAAACCGCATAACAAATTTTAAAAGAGAACTGTCATTGTAATGTGCATTCTTAAAGTGGACTATTTCTTTCAAATCAGAAATAATTTAAACAATCAGAGAAATTCTCTCTTTTCAATCACCTCAAACATATGTAATTGGAAAATGATGCAATATTAGCAATAGAGAAATAAGAACATCCCCAAAAGAGATATTTTCAGGTCCAGCAGGAGTTTTTCAAATGGCATTTAAGCATCATGTGAACAAAAATATTTATGAATTGAAGCAACACAGAGGTCTGAATATCTCTTACCTTGCAGAAAAGGAATGCTATCAGAAACAAAGCAAGTAGAAGGCAGTGCTGAATTCCAAATGCAATTGCAGGGTGAGCTGTTTTTAAATAACAGCATATGTGTTTTTAGGGATTTGCCTCGCAGCATGTGTCTCTTTTTTTCACATAACTGTCAACTATACCAGTGATGAAAATGAAAAATGTATCACTCAAAACTTTTTTTTGTTTTCTGAACTGTACCTTATCTAGTGAGAAATGAAAGTTCTCTCTCTCTTTTTTCCCTAAGAAATACATTCCTGTAACATTTCTATACTATCAAAGCATAACAGCAGGTTGAAGGAAACACAGGACATAGCCAGATACCCACACAGCAACTGTTTTTTGCTTGTTTTGTTTTTTGAGAGCTCAGTACGTACTCTGAGGTCTAGTAGAGAAAAAGACTCTGTCATCAAGGAGCGGTGTCCTGTGGTGAGAAGAAACAACTTATAAACCAATAACACTCCTCTTCTCTGCACTGTTTCCTCCATAGCACTTATTACAAATAAGCCATATGAAATGTTTTTGTTATTCACATTGTATTGTCTGATGCCACCCTTGAAAGTAAACTCTATGAGGTCATAGATTTTCATCTATTTTATATATGGATTTTTCCTCACTGCCTCAAACAATATTTAAATAAATCAGATAATAATTATCAAATATTCCTGTTAATTCTACAAATTATGGGTAAACAACATGTACTAAGAGATAGGAAAATTTAATTCCCTCTGAGACATGTAAAGAGACTAATGATGAGGTGACACACTGGGTATGGTGATCTCTAGGTCCTAGAAAGTTTCCGTGTCAGAATATGAAATTGCATGGCTAAAGTCTAAATGACTTCATTTTGTTTCTTGTCTCATTAACCACCCCTAAAGTATTTCTTAAAGTAATTTTGTAGTTTCATTTCTGAGATTCCAGGTTCAGAATGGAATTTAGAACCAATTCTTCTAAGTGCCAATGTTTGATGAAAGCAAACTAAAATCAAGAGGTAGTAAGGCATATGTTGAAGGTCCCTTGATTGGTGAAAAAGGCAAGTCTGGAATCCATATGCTGAAATGCTCATCCTTTCTATCATTAGCTTCTATCAACCATGTGCCTGCATGTTCTCACACAAAGAACTGTATTACCTCAAAGAAATACAATAGAGCTGGAAAATGCTAACAGGAAGACAACTAAACTATCATTAAAGAAAAGAAGCAGCTTTGTAAAGGGAGACCCTAAAGATTAGCATCTTCAATCTGGAAACTCTGACATCTATTAAATCATGAAGAAGGTGAAGAGTGTAGAAGCCAAGCTATCCACAAACTTCAATTATACTAGGTCTTAGGGCACCCTTTGAAGTTTAAAAGAGATAAATATAGGAAAATAATGGGAAGTGCCATACTACTTTATTTATTAGGTAGAGTGCTCATGGAAGTAACACAGGCTGAAAATATAATAGGTTCATAAAAGGTTTAGATAAAAAACATGCAATAAATCAATTCCAGACTATTAAAGGGAATTGGCCCAATATACTGTTACTACCACTTTTATCTTTGTCAAAGGACAGAACTCTCCTTGCTCTTTAGTTATATTGGAAGTGCCTGAGTTTGAACATTGTTGCACTGATATTAAAAAGCCAGATGTCTTAGTAATATGAACTAAATAGCAAGAGTAGATGTGGAGCAATACTCTACACATAAGGCCAAGGTGAAATTTCCAAATGACCATTATAGCAATGTGATTAGATATAATAAACTCTCTCTGAACACACATTTTTCTCAAGTGTGTGTATTACGTCTTTAAATTTAGATGCGAGATCTGACTGAGATCAATCTATTTATCTATCTGTATATATATATATATTCATATATATACATATATTCATATATATGAATATATATGTGTATATATATATTCACAAATATGAATATATATGTGTATATATATATTCACAATTCACAAACATGAAAATGTACCAAAGGCTATTTCCCTTCTAGGTGTACAGTTTAGATTTTGGTACATGGTTTTAGGTTTTGGTACATGGCATCATTTTGAAGCATCTTAGGCTCTTGGTATCAGGGATTTATAAAGTTCTCCTACATCACAAAATTCATTACATTTTTAAGTATTAATCTTTGTTGCAGAATAAAATACTTTCATTATATATTACTCTCATATAGTAATCATGATCTGAAAAAATTTTACTATCCTTTAAGAGAGAATTTATTTATCTTGGGCTCTTACATTGAATCATGTTCTCTTATCATGATTCCTACTGCTACATTAATATGAATTAATTGTAGAATAATGTTGCTGGAACACATGTAAATTAAGCCTAAAAGCTTATCATATAAACATTTGTGCTTATAATGCTTACAAAGTCAACGCAAAAAATAAAAATAACTGCAAACACAAATCACAAAACCAATGGCCATTCAAATTCATGTTAATTTCATGGATCAGATTCTTTTGGTTCCCAAAACAATGTGGTTGACGACTATGTGAATAGGCACTGGGAGCTAACAGAGAGAGTTTTAGACATTGGTAGGCTTGAAGTAAACTCTTGATTCATTTTTTCTCTATATGGGAAAATTTTTACATAATTCTCATAATTCACCATTACATAATTTGAAGCTTATTTGGCAAAAACTGATAAAATATATAGTATGTCTTTATCTGTTCCTTTTTCAGAGGCCTCAAGGAGGCATGAAAGGGACAATAATCACGATGGAAAAGCAGGTCCTAAAACATGAAAGTAATTTGATAGAAGAGTTACCCACGTTAAGCATGATTATATTAAACACATTCATAGTATCACATGAAAGTTTTCCAAAGTCATACAACTTGAATCAGGTTTGAGAAACACTATTTTATATCATAACTTTGATGTAGATTTCTAATAGTAAATTTTTATTAAAAAATATAATCTAGCTGGCTGTACTGGCATACACCTGTAATCCCAGCTACTCGGGAGACTGAGGCATGAATCACTTAAATCTGGGAAGCAGAGGGTGCAGTGAGCGGAGAACATGCCACTGCACTCCAGCCTGGGCAACAGAGCAAGACTCTGTCTCAAAAACCTATATATATATATGTGTGTGTGTGTGTGTGTGTGTGTATAAGTACATATATATAAGTGTATATATATATAAGTGTATATATATGTGTATATATAAGTGTATATATATGTGTATATATGTGTATATATAAGTGTATATATATAATTTTATTGAAAAATTAATCCATACTCATAAAAACAATTTCTAAAAAATTAAGTACAGTGAAAAACAATCCTCTAGATGCAGACATGCAAATCCCTTACCCTTCTACCCAGAAGCAACCATTGTGACCATTTTCCTGTATATAATTAAAAATATTCTATGCACATTAAGTAATATCACCATATGCTTTATTTGCCCTACCAGTAACATTTTAAAAAGTAAACTATTATATAATGCTAAAAGGATGACATGAAGTTCACTGAGGAATTTATGGCTACTTTTAAGTTAGTTTTAGTGACATTTTCTTACACATAATACTAATCTTCTCACTACTGTGAATACATTTCGACAACTCGATTTTACATATTAATAAAATAAAACAGTGTTTAAAATATGACATATTTGGTGTACTCTTAAATGCTTAAATCCTACTTAATTTTAGGGCAATTTTCTCTCATTGAAAAGGAAAAAAATAAGTCACCAATAAATAGAAATTTTATAAAAAGAAAAATATAGAGTGAAATAATAGATCACATATTTTTTCCTCTCAGGAATACATGCATGTATATTTAAACATGCAATAGCGGTTACGAATGGAGGAGCAGGGACCATATTATAAGAGTTTCATTCTGGCTCTCTTGTTTACTAGCTTTGTGATTTGTGAAAGTCATCTAAACTTCTTTGAGCCTCAGGTCCCTCGTTTGTAAAATGGAGATGATAATATCACCTGCCTCCTTTAACATGAGGATGAAAGGGAATACTAGAGGCAAATCACTCTGTACATTGTCTAGTATGTAGAAAGTGCTCAATAAATAATAGCTATCCTTTATTTATTTGCTTTAACACATTTTAATAGCAGAAAAAACATCTACATATAATCAGTATTAGTGAAAGCACAACGATAGCTTTACATATACGAACAGTATGTACTGCACAGCACACACGCACGCCACACACACACTAATATAGTATATGTATTATCTCAGTTAATTAGAAAAAAATAAACTCATGAAGTTGATATTGTCCAAGTTTTTATTTTATAGTGAGGAAAACTTTGACTACTCTTATGGCATCGTGGTAATAACACAGGAATGGGAATTTTAGGTGTAAGCTCTACATCATATTTTGCTGATGACCAGCTACAAGATTAAGAGCAAATTGTTTTCCCAGGGGAAATAAAAACCACAGAGTTTGAAATAAATACTGCCTCCCCTGGTTACACAGATGAGCCTGAACTGAGGTATGATTTAAACAAAACTATCTTGCACATCAAAGACTCATCAGTGTGAACATCAGTAGTTTTAGCGGCTACAAAACACCAGAACACCAACAGCATAGACTAGAGACAATTAGACTTTCATCAGTGGGAGAAGATGCTATACAGCAATCAACCCAAAACCATGATATTTTAAACATATTAAAGACATTTTAAAGCTATCTTCACTGGAAATGTAGTGGAGACAAACTGCAGACACCAAGTGGTAATTCAATATACATATGAATTTGTGAGCACATATGAGAAAAATGCTAGGAGTGGAGAACAGTTTAATTCCATTGCCACCCCTCAGGTCGGCTTATCTGAAAGAAAAGCTTCTGGTTGACTTTGAAAGTATTTGGGTGTATATTAACACCAACAGCCATGCATGTAAAATGACAAGAACAGAGGTTGATACTTTTTTACCCTATTTGTCTCTTTGAACTTCTTTTAAGTGAAATTTTTAAATAATACCTCTTTTATAAACTTTTTCATTATGTCTGAACCCTTTAAGCTTGTATTCAAGTTTCTTCACAAATGTATTTTCTCAGCATAAACCCAGGTTGGTGTCTTAGTAACCAATTAAACTTCCATATTCATTCCTGCCTTTGCTCACAGAAATACAAATTCTAGAACACTTGCCGCCCCCCCCACCCCGCTCCCCACCTTGACACACACACACACACACACACACACACAGACACACACACATTCTATGTATTTTCCAAGCCAAGCATTACTTCAGTTTTCTTACTTATACTGATGATCCTAGTACTTTATTCGTTTCTTATAGTGCTTAATTATATGCCACCAAGTACTTCCATGCATTATTTTATTTCTCAAAGATATGTCTCTTAGTTTTTCTACTATATTCATCTCATTGAGGCAAAGTTCTGTAGAGAATATGTGTTTAAAACAATAAATGGCTATAAAGCAAGAATCAGTTTAACAAAAATCAAATAATTTGTATTTCTCAAAATGAGTAATATCCTCTACCATAAGCCTACTTTAAGGAATAAATACTTGTCATTTTCAATGTATTTAGAAAACTTTCTCTTTTAAAACTGATTTTAGATTCAGTTTATGAGCTTGGATATAAAAACATCTCAGTATTTTCTAGTTACAATTATGAATCTACCCAAACCACCCAGCAAGAATTTTAAAATATATTTCACCATACCATAACTTCAAAAATTCTGATTCAATAGGTCTTAGGGTGAGGCCAGTTGTATATATTAAGTGAAAAGGATAACAAAGAAATAAATAAAAAGCAAACTCATCAGGTGAAGAAAAAAAACTGCTTTAAAGTTTCTCCTCTTAAAAAGATAATTGCTTTAGCTTAAAGAAGGAAGTGATAGAGTTTGGCTTTGTGTTCCCACCCAAATCTTATCTCAAATTGTAATCCCCAGGTGTTGAGGAAGGGGCCTGGTGGGAGGTGACTGGATCATGGGGACAGTTTCCCCATGTTGTTCTCATGATAGTGCATGAGTCTCAAGAGATCTGATGGTTTTATAAGGGGCTCTTCCCTCTTTGTTCCTTCACAGGCTCTCTTGCCTGCTGCCATGTAAGACATGCCTACTTCCTCTTCTGCCATGATTGTAAGATTCCTGAGGCCTCCCCAGCCATGCAGAACTATGAGTCAATTAAATCTCTTTTCTTTATAAATTACCCAGTCATGGGCAGTTCTTTATAGCAGTGTGAGAATGGACTAATATAGAATATTTTCCAGTGGAAAGAAAAACACCTTTTGTGTCTCTCATGAGTCATTTAATCTTTCAATTACTCAATGTTAGTATACCTGTCTGTAAAATGCAAACCATAATATATGTTCTACTTATATGGTGCATGAGTTTCCTCACTGAACATCTGCTACTATGTGGGAGATACTAGGCTGTGAGTTGGGGATGTAAATAAAAATCAGAATGATCTTGGTTTTAAGAAAGTAAAAATATACAAAAGGAATAAGGCATGCAAAAAACAACTCAGAGCAGATGATGATCGACAGTAAAGAGAGGTATAAATTAAGAGTGATGAGTTTTCCAAAGCCAGAGAGCCCTAGTGGCTGGAGAACTCAGGGAATATTTTAAGGAGGCCACACACAGGGGCTCACTCCTGTAATCCCAGCACTTTGTAATCCCAGCTGAGGCCGGCAGATCACTTGACGTCAGGAGTTTGAGACCAGCCTGGCCAATATGGTGGAACCCCATCTCTACTAAAGATAGAAAAAATTAGCCTGGCATGGTAGCTTCTGCCTGTAATCCCAGCTATGTGAGAGGTTGAGGCATGAGAATTGCTTGAACCCAGGAGGCGGAAGCTGCAGTGATCTGAGATTGTGCCACGGCACTCCAGCCCTGGTGACAAAAAGAGATCATCTTAAAAAAAAAAAAAAAAGAATATCAAGAATATCTTAAGGAAAAAGAAACATTTGAAAACTCAAGTGTGAGTTTTAGCAGCCAGAACCCGAGGGCAGACTGATCAATAGAAACAAAATGAGAGAGATTGAAATAATAATAATAAAATAAATAAACAGAACTCCTAGAAATAAAAACTGGTCTATTTGTCAATATCATGAGGCAAATTACAAGAGAGGCAGAGAAGCTACAATGAAGAAAGTATTAGAACAGATTAAAAAAATTGACTATTACCTAGTAAGCAGTAATACATGCTGATAATATTTAATAGGCATTTGTAATTGCAAAAAAAAATACTCTGCCAAGTGCTTTGTAAGTTTCATTTAATCCTTTCAGCAAAGTTAGGAGGCAGCAACATTATTGTTCCATCTTCTAGACAAGGGAACTGAGGTGTAGCTAGATTGAATACTTTGGCCAAATTTTCAAACTCCTTCCTTGGTGGAAGTGGTAAAACTCTTAGTAGATCTGCCTCAAGTCTGCAGTGAGAGCAATTTACCACTATGCAGTACTGCCTCTGGAAATGGGATTGTACCCAGGGTAAATACTGAGCTAGTGAGTAACACAAAGTGTCACTGCCTTAAGGACTTAGGTTAATCTCATCCCTGAAGGAAAGCTAACACTGTATGTCATCAACTTTAGTTCTTATAATATCCTGTATGTTACTTTTCTGTGAAATTTTCATAGTATATTGTAATTTCTGACCTCTGGAAAACACCAGAAGTCATTTGAGGGCAGGAGGTCTGAATATGGCTTATTTTTTATCATATCTTATTGCCTAACGTGTTGCCTTCTTTATAATGAAAAATCAGTACATATCACTGAATGGATAATTGTGGGGAAAAAATCAATTAAGAAAAATATATTTCAGGAAGAATTGGAGAGGGAAGAGATACAGGCATGCAGATCAGCTCAGCCAGGTCTTTGGATTTGCAGACAGCCATGCCTCCTGGCTCATCAGCTTCATCTTTTAATACCCAGTGAAAGAGTACTCACCTTTCAAGTCCCTCTTCAGCTTCCCATGAGTAGAAGACCATGTTCCCTCATCCACATTTTCCTGAAACTCCAATCATATCGCAAGCAGAACACTAAATAATTGACAATGTACTTACTTTTAAACGTGGCTCTCTCCTACTATATTTCCATTTCATTGAGAAAGGGGACAAAAAAATCTCATCTACATCCATTTCTCAAGTTACTAGCACACTTTATAATATATATATTAAAACTCTAAAATGTTGTTGACTTGTGAAGGAAAGATGTAATTTGAACCTCTTCTTTAGTGTGGAGTTGGAATCAAAAGGAAAGGATCATTTTTTAAATACAGATAGAATTAAAATCATTTGTCAAATAATTCTATTTGAGAGGAAAAAAGTTGAAATTTACAGAAAATACATTTTTTGCCTTAAGTTAGTGGAAAATGAAAAGCAGTTCAAAAATGGTCCCAGGGTGATGGTTGACTATGAAAATCTCCCTTATCACTTGAGGATAATTATCTTGTATAAACAGGTTTGCTATATTTTAGACAAAAATTGAGAAGGAAGTAGATATTTCTAGCTAAAATTATTTTGGGTTGTTTCTTGGTTTTTACTTACTTTGGGAGGTGCTTTCATATGCTTCTTTCTATATTTATGATCCATTTACTATTTATTCTGCAAAAAACCTTTGCCCTAAAATATAGCACTAAATATGACTATGACATCATCAGAAGGTTGCATGCAAATTTTAAACATTTCTATACTCTTATATACACCATTTCAATTTCAATTTCTGTTTCCCCTTTGAAGTTGAAATAAATGCTTTATATATTCATTTGAAATAATACCTAGTGTGCAGCACTGCTGAGAAAAAAACTCCATCAGTCTTTTGAGAATAAAAGCAAATCAATAGTAATATATCTCAGAATAGAAGCACTTTTGTTGACAGAAGGAGCATGGTTTAATGGGAAGCAAAGTAATCTTTGTTTTCAGTCAGACTATTGGGCTGTGCATGAGAAATGGCATGCTCTGACCACTTGTTCTATATTAAAGGGCAGTATGGCAGATTCAAAATAGAGAAAATAATTTGCCTAATAGCAATGGACAACCATAGCTTTAACACATAACATAGAGATCATTATTATAAGATTTGTATGCAATTTTATAAATTTGTCTTTAGTTCCCATTTAGGGCTATTCTGTTAATTAAATCAAATCATCCCAGTGCCCCAAAGATGGGTGATACAGAACCTATTCACATGGTATCCTGTAATTGTGATTAAGCTATTCCATGTCCAACACCACAACTGAAGTTTTACTCAGGTTTTGATGATGATGATGATGATGATAATGATGATGAGGAGGACAATGTTGATACTTTAGGATGTAACATAAATGTATCCAGATCGATTGATAAATAGATACCACTATAGATATAGTTATACATATAGAAATAAAGTAGGGAAAAATTTTGTGCTTATATATTCCTATGAGCTATATACAAAGACAATTTATTTTGATCAAATTTATTCATGTTTACCTTCAGATAATAAAGTAAAGAAAATAAGAGGAGTAAGACCACATAAGCAATCAATGACTATTCTTGACTTAAATACCTAGGTCAATGCTTATTTTCATTTTCTAGAAAATAATTGTATTATTTTCTTTTTAAGTATAGGTACATACTAGTAAAATTACAAGCAGTAATTATAGGTCTTCCTCTTCTGCAAGTACATTACTACTTTATAAAAAACCCAGTCAAAGAGGCTTGATATTTGGTGAATACGTATGTTACACAAAGTAAAAATGAATTGTTTTAGAATGTATAAAAAAAATGTAAACAAATTTGTCTCTTTGAACTTCCAATGAACCCACTGAAAAATGCATTCAATGACCAGAGTTTGCTGGTATTAGTTCTCTGCTTTTCTTGTAGGCAGCATATTTACATTTAAGTTTTACAAAATGCAAAAATAACAATAATTCAGCCCCTGGTTTCTTTGTGTTGAACACCAGAGGATTCTGAAAGGAATTTTTCCTTGAGAAGGTTAAATGTATGAGTCATTAGAGTTTACTTGTAACTGCAAAGTAATACATTTTAGTTTAAAAATGATATCTTGCCTCAAAAATATTGTTTAAAAGATTTCATGCAGATTTTGTAAAACATTTGCTATAATTCATGTCAATATGTAAACATTAAATGGCATTCATTTAAAAATGATTCATTTTCAATGTCATCTTATAACCCTTAATGTAAATTCACATCTGTTTCAATGCTTCCAAGTGCAATGTTCACTTGGAAAAACGTCTAAAGCCAGAAAACATTGTGTACTATAGAACAATAATTCTCAACATGACCACAAGGTGGCTCTCAACACCGAAATATGTTATTTTCCCTCTGGACAAGTGAATAGAATTTTACCAGAAATATTAGCAGCAATTTACCCTATAAATGGGTCAATACTTCAAAAACGTAAATTCATCTCAACCCTCTGATCACGTTGTGAAGCCTAATTTATATTGTTTTAAACTTCAGACATTCAAAAAAACACATGAAATGGTTGAAAACCTTTAAAGAATTTGAAGGATTTTGAAAAGAAATGATTATTTCAGTAGTCTGCATAATTAATTATTCAATAACCATTTCTTGGGCTTTAAAAATTAATTTCTCCTCTAATTTTGCACAATGTTATTCTCACTTTACTTCCAACTAAATGAAAGCAAAATAGATGCAAGTTAAACTTTTTCTCTAGTATGATTAAAGAATGTGAAACTTAAAGAGAAAGTATGTCAAAGTTTTTAGCCTTTGTAAAGTCCAATTCTAAAAGTATATATACATTTAGATGATCAATTATACTAAATGTAAAATGTGTGTAATATTAATAGAATATTTTAAATTAGCCATCCTGATGAATAAGCCATGAGGTTAAATTATTTTGCCAAATATTATAGTGAAGTTGTGAAAAAAAACAATCCTATAAAATGGCCACAGCATTTAATCAAGATGATAAGAAAAAGATAACTGTGACTCTGATTAAGCAGATAATACATGATTAAAGAGATAATAAATGTAAATATATAGCTATGGCAAATACGAGCATTATCTTTACTATGCTCACCAAAGTATAACTTTCAGCTAGGTTTAGGAGTCTCTATTATAGCTTACCTCATCTTTACAAGTTATTGGACAAGATGAAGTGCTAAGTATGCCCTACCAGTATGTGAATGTATAAATAATATATTAATTATCCCTGAGCTATAAATAAAACTGAAAGAAAAAAACTGTGATATAATCCTGGATTTTTAAAATAAAGCTTTTAAAAACGTATTTATGAACCCATATAAATGTATATTTTATGACCTCAATGTATGTTTTCATGTGTTTATGTAATCCGTAGAAACCATTCCAGATGCTTTTTAAATTAACATATAAATAGAGCCAAAAAAGGAAAAAAAAAAAACAGAAACAGTGGTTTCAAATTGATCTTCATATCACCTTGAATGTGAAGAATGAAAAGAATGATCTAAATAAAACCTGTTAAATTTTTCACATTTTGCAGCAGGTTCTATGTCTTCATCAGACAGTTTCAGGGACCTCGTCTAGGTAATCGGTAGTCCACTGACCTTTCAGCTTGTAATATAGACTGCAGAATTATTCTTGAGATTTATAGGTATCAAAACGTTAATGGAATAATTTCTGTAATGCACTGCCTCTGTTCACCATTCTTTTTCTAATTCTCATTACTCTGACCTCAAGAAGGAGAATCTGAGAAAGGAAACATTACTGCAGTGTATTCAGAAATGGCTCATGTTTCACCTGAGTGAGTTTATGTGGCTCATGGACCTCACAACAGTTAGTCTCACTCTTTCTTATGCTTTTTTCCTCCTCTCGAGTCTTTCCTATCGTTTTCAAAATTCGTATCCATCAATTCCCTACTTCATGCAATGCCTCTCTGAGAATGCAATTTAAGTTTTCAGGTTACATTCAAGTCTTTATGCAACTGACATTTTCACTCTTTCTTATGCATTTTTCCTCCTCTCGAGTCTTTCCTATCGTTTACAAAATTCGTATCCATCAATTCCCTAGTTCATGCAATGCCTCTCTGAGAATGCAATTTAAGCTTTCAGGTTACATTCAAGTCTTTATGCAACTGACATTTTCACAATCATTAGAGAATGAATATATTTATAAAAGTTTTATATTGAGCCCTTTCCAATTACAATCATAGACTTATGAGCCCTTTCCAATTATAATAATAGATAAGTCAACTGTGTGCCTGGAAATGTTTTGGTTCAAACTCCCACTTTTCCAAAAATAAAATTCAGAATGAAGAATTTATTACATTGTCCGTAGAATTAGTAAGAGAATTAGACTTAAAACACCAAGAATTTCTCACTTCAAGTACAAAATTATTACATAATACAAGTTAAAATATTTAAATATTTTAAAGTTGTAGCCCTAATGATATTAAGTGCTGTGGTAAAAATACAACACACTCAATATTCATTAAGCATAGGTCACATGAATTAACATCTAATAATAATACAAATGACAGTAATAGATAGCACTAGAACACCTATTGTGTATTAGGCATTGTTGTTAGACACTATAGTAATTGCTTATTTTAATCATGACAATTGTCCTATGATGTAAGTATAATTATTAACCCCATTTTACAGATAGAAAAAACTACCAGTGACATTAAATATGAAACATATGGTAAGTGGCACAGCTAGGATTTAAATCCAGACAGTCTGGTGCCACGATCCATGCTTTTATCTGTCAAAGGACCTTGTGAGAGCACTTACGTTAGGTTGATTGCATTTTCTAAGAAAGGAAATCTCAGTGCTTCTAGAATGTAGGCTTATCACTGTGCAGTCTCCTATTAAACATGACCTTCCTCTGGTGTCCTCACAAAAACAGACTATTATATAGAAGAGTCTTTTTCACAGTGACCAAGTTTTAAACACAGTGGCTTCTATGAAGTGCTTATTTTCATTACTTTAGGAATAAGGAAGCTCCTGTTCGTAAAAATTTTCTGTATACCAAACTCCCATAACACACAATACACCTATATAACAAACCTGCACATGTACCCCTGAACCTAAAATAAAAGTTAAAAAAAGAAAGAAAACAAAAAAATTAGCAATAGAAATTTGGGATACATTTGGCCTCCTGATACATAATTCTCCTGTAGGTTTCTTGATGGGGATGGGTATATTAGTCTCAACTTTGGGCCCTTGCTTTATCCCACATAGTCCCCTGTGTCTGCAAGATGATAACTGGCTGTTGCAAATTTGAAGTGCACCACGGATCACCAACCAAAAGGCTGCTCCTAAGGGAAGCACCAATTCAAAATCCATTCTCAGGGATTAACTAAAGAAATCTTAGGCTACACAAAAATGTTATCTTGAACCAAACTGTTAACTCTGATATTTTCTTTAATGATATGGTATGGCTATAAATGCAACAATGCAGCTTTAAAAATATAGATAAGTGAGATCCTTATATTAGTCACTTTAAAAGCACCTAGTACTTATCTTTCTTGTATTTATCAAAGCTGGAATATAACAAGTCATGTGATTATTCATACAATGGCTCACAGTAGCAGAGACTTTTGTTTCTTTCTCCCTCTTTCCCTGTCTTCCCAAGTTTGTCTTTCTGGATGCTTGCACAGTGTCTGGCTTATGGTAGGCACTTAAATAATACTTGGCAAATGAAGGAATGAAAGAACGGATGAATAAATAAAATGCTTTTGAGGGGTTTCTTCAGCAGTATATCTAATGGAAGATGAAAACTTAAGACTGTGGTAGGTGGAGGAATACATGACTGCCCATGATGTTCTACCATCTAATTCTACTACTATTTCATAAAAATGGAAACATTTAGAGCACAACTACTGATATTTCCATTGTAAATTATATTACATTTAATTATAAATATCTCAGATTAGAACCTGCCTCTTCTCAAGGACAAAATTTGTACTAAATTCATCCTTGTATCTCCAGGTGTGACAGAAGGGAATGCGTCACAGTAACTTCCCCCAAAATGAGTGAAATTAATTAGGAGCTAAAGAATAATTGAGCAAATTATTGTATAGATAACAGGATACCAGTTAAATTAATAACAGAAGCTGCAAAATAAAAAGTATAACACATATAATAATAAATAGCAACATATGATAGCCTAAAATCAAAAGAGAGTTATTTAATGATTGTGAATTTTGAATTCATAGTACTGAGCCCCTAAGTACTATCAAAAATTTCAAATTTCCCTAAGGGTGTTTCTGGAAACAGCGGTTCCTATGCAAAGTTTCATTTTGCTTTAATGAAGTACAAGGCTCTCCCTCATCCACACTTTTTTCTTCTTCGACCTACCTAGAAACAGGCTTGATCTAGCCTCTACTTATAAAGCAAAGTGATTAATTTCATTGCTCTTAAGTCAAGATTATGGTTGCCATTCATCTATTTTCTCATCTCCACTGGGCTGGATTTCAGATTTCATACTCTATATGATGGCAAATCTAAGTCCAAGGGGAGAAAAAAAATTAGTAAAGAAAATATTTTTCTCAACTTAGATTTTAGGAGTATTTCATTTCTGCCGTTTTTTTAAGTATCGATAGCAAGTACTTATGCCTATTCCCAAGTTAGTGAAGGCTTATTAATTAATTTTTAAAATATTATGTAGAACTATCTAGTATTAACTATTGAAAATTAGGATATATATTTTAAAAGACAGTTAGCTAGAAGACAAGAAAGTCTCAGAAAAAGTAGAGTTCTCATTTATCATTTTTAATTGCATACAGCAAGAAGGGGGGGAAGTCACTTCTTTAGTGTAGAAATTCTGTAGAAAACCTCCACTCTTCACTCAGTAGTTGAAAACAAAAAAAGGAAAAAGAGACAAAGTGACAGTGCCTCTAAGTATATGTCTGTGCTTAGGATTCATTTTTTAACTCATCTCCAAAGGAATAACTAAAGTCTTGGTTGAGGGGGTAGATAAATAAAGATTTTCTGTAAGTTTCTACTCATGGAGAAATATTCAAATTTAGGGAGCCAAATGCAGGCAGAATAAATCTGCATGTTGCTGTTTTTCACTCTTCAGGGACTACATGTTGAAAAATCACTCTGGTGACAAAATATGGTTCAAGACTACAGAGCAGGACTAACCCCCAACTTATAATGCTTTAAGAAGAAGTCAAAAAAGAATAGAAAATATATTATAGTTGACTAAGCTAATAGATAATCATTGGATAATCAGCTTCTTATTTGATGTAATAAGTTGACATATATTTTACTCCAATAGTTTCTTTTCTTCAGGTCATCACCAAAGCAAATCAATATCACACTGTTGGTTTTGAAAGTATGTAATTCATGTTTTTGATCTTATTAGCAATAGATTTAAACCACTTGAGTTAGAGGTATAAAAATTTTAACGTTTTGGTTTATTTAAGGAAAATATTTTATATAAAATAATTGATAAATACACTTTAGAGGTTGAAGATTTATATGGAAACACAAAACCCTTAAAATTCCTCAGGTAGCTAAATATTTTCAAATCTATCAAAAAATAAGCCTACTAATTTAAAATTTACCTTTAGAAGACAAATTATTTGGAAACATTATGGTGCCTCATTTAAATTTGAAGTTCGCTTCAGTAATTATGAAAATATTCCTTAATTCAGAAGTCCCAGAATTTACAATGGATTCAAAGGAAGTTTATTTGACTTAATTTTATTGAGAGTGGAGCTATATTTTTACGAAAGGAGAAACAGTTACATTTTAAAAGTTTGTATTAATATTATGTACAAAATTTACTCCAAATTTTCCAATTACTAGGGCAAATATATGGGCTGCCTTTGATCTATTCAGATAATGATATTGAATTTCAACTTTAATTCTTGTATTTATACATATTACATTAACCATAGAGAGAATTCCCAGTATAACTCAAGGTAGAATATTTAATGTATTCAGCTTATTGATTATTTCATTTTGTTACATATTATGCCTACCTCAATTATTGTTACAGTTTCTGTTTCCCAAATTTCCAACTGGAAACAAAAGCAATGGTAGTTCTTTACAACATTTGCTCATTATATACCAGATTTCATTTTTAGATTCTAAACTGGTAATACTTGTTTCTTGCAGCAAAGAAGAATCAACATGTCTAATGAAACATTGCTTTCTAGAAACATGTAATTTATGTTTATTTTAAAAATCAGGGCTCTGTCAAACCATTTCAATATCCTCTCTTATAGTAAATCAGTAAAGATTCCTAATCAATAACTTATGCATTGAGCATAATAATTCATGTCTGTACATTCTACATTCTGATAATTTGGAGGAGTCATTTCAATAATAAGTGCTGAATTCCCACACTTGGCTTGCTAGTGCAGTAAACTACACTGGTGCCAATTTCAACTCCTTAGAAGCCTCAGTGTTATAAAATTTATAAAAGAGTTGCTTTCATTTAAAAGAATAGATTCTAGCCAACTGAACTGTCATATACTTTGTGCTATAATGCAAAGGATAGTGTAATAAATATAATGTATAATGTGGCAGATGATAGAATACTGGCCATAAAAATCACAAGATTTACAGAAATATAACTTTACAACAGGGCAATTTTTTTTAAAGCACATGGGAAATTTAATCAAGGAGTTTTGTAATTGTTTTAAATGAGGAAGGAGAGAAAAGGAAAAAAGAGAGGGAGATGGAAATAGATATAGATTTGCAGAAAGAGAGATGGGGTAGAAGAGAGAGAGAGGGAGAAGATGACCTGCTAAATTTATGGGGATCAGCAGGGCTCTGAAGTGTTTAGAAATGTCATTTATTGCTGAATTTCCTGTTGTGAAGCAATGTTGTATTATATCTTATAGTCTATTGTTTAATTCTGTCCTGAATCTTGAAATGTCATTTAACTTTAATTTATATCATCACATCATATAGAGTATGTTGAATCAAGACTACTTTCTTGAAAAAAAAAAAGAAAAGATTGAAAATTGAAATCATGTGATTTCGTAAAGTGCTTATAATGTTTCTGACAAACTCTCTAAGGATACGAAACCCTTTACTGAAAGGCATTTTTATATGAAGGCATTTCAATCTCCCACAGGCAGGCATTATTTTGAAGGAATGCTACATTTTATTTCCTAAAATGATGTAAAATGTGATTTTATTGTATTCCTTCTTATTTAATTTGCAGCTTTCCCTTTCTTTAGTTCCATAATGTTTAACCAATGTCTCTTAAAGTGTATAGGTCATCACATACATTGCCAGAAAGAAATCAGATAAAAATATAAAGAAACTGATGAAAATAAAGCACTTTCATTCTTAAAAAAATCAAGAGTTACTTTTTTGTGAGAAGTTGCATTGATAAGAGAGTTAAGCAAAAGTTGTATTAATAATTTTTAAACAGGTCAGATTATTTCAACTCATCATTGTTAATATTTCATTAAGAATAATACATTCCCAGAAATCTACAAATTTAATGTGATGGGTCTTATTTTTTGACAATATGTGTCTACAGTTAGTTCAAGTGAGTGATGACAAGAAGGTATGGGAAAAGCAAAATGGACTTATACGCTTTAGGTGCCCTTCTATTCAAGAAAGACAGGAGAAATGGATTATAAAAGGGCTCAAGGGCTCATACTAAAATGTCAAGTGAGGTGAGACTGCTCTACAGTCAGAAAAGAAGAGGGCACAGGCGACCCAGAGCTGATATTGTTATCTTAGAAAACAGGCATTGCTTGGTAATTGTTTGAAATTGTTTCTTGTTCTTATGCATGAAAAAAAAATCTGTAATTTTGAAGGTTGAACTTATTGGGGTAAATGCAGAAAATTATATGAATGCTCCGTGAATATCATCCAAAGGTTTCAACTAGAAAGGAAAAAGGCAGATTTTCTTTTAAATTTAGGACTTGTATTTTTTCTGTAGATTTCAGATTATTGTAATTATGACAAAACAATATATTTTTGTGAACTCATTGGTCTGTGTAAGTGTCAAGAAAAGATAAATAGATTTGTCTGTGCTAACTTTCAGTTTTTCAAATATGCATCTATAGTGTCATTCCGAGAACGCTTCTTTTTACTACTTAAAATATCATAATATGAACCATATATTGTACTTAGTATAACGCTTAATCAATTTTACCATTGCTCAGTATACGTTTAAGAAGGATGAGGAAATGTTTCTTGCTACTTGGTTTTTAACTTCAATCTATTCCAGACATGACTGTTAAATACAATATGGTTAGTAAGTTGTCTCTTTTGAAACCCTATTCCAGATAATATGTTGGGTTAATTGAAAGTAGAGTTTTCAAACATAGACCTGAAATTTAGAGATCAAATATCTGCATAAAATTACTTATAATTGGCATAAATAATTTTACTGTTTTTCTATTTATAATTTCAGTATTTTACAAGTACTTCTAATGTGACAGCAGTATTAGAATGTAATTTGCATAGTAGAAATCAGAATATAATATGGCTAATGCTTTTAATACCCAAGGGCTACACTAGAGATAGTTGGGTTTGCATCACTGGTTTGTATTAATTGCTTACTATGAAACACTATTACTGATAATAACACTTAACAAGAATATGGTTCACTTTGCTGCTGATTCAGCATCATCAGAGCCAATACTGCTGCTGTGCTGCAGCCTAGTGGAATGATTTGGTATAAAAATGACATATTCCAGTAAGACGTGTTATCACTTACTGCAAAGTAGGTTAAGAGACATAGGAAATCAGTCATAAGCACAGAAATCCCCCAGATAGTATATACTTTGCCTCAGTTATTTGCTTATATAAAAAATTAAGTAAAGGTCAAGAAATTCACCCTATTTTTTATGCAAGATTCATATATTTTGGAATTAACCTTTCCAGTTTCAAGTAGTCTATTTTTCAACAAGAAAAAAAACATACCTCTTCCAGATTACACTAACTTTGTAAATAACGTGTCAGAAATATCACTCTAAATTAAAATCAGTTTTGTATCCTCTCTTTTTCTTTTTTAAAGAAAATCCCAGTGTGGGTAAAAATCTAACAATGAAATATTAAATTGATTACCTGCATAGCACTGTTCTAATTAATAAACAGTTTCTATAAACATCAAGGAACATCACCTAGAGCATTAATCAGGTACCAAACAATTTAACCATTGACTTCACACATATGCATATGTAGGTGGATGCTCATACAGTTTACCTTCTTTTTTCCCATTTCCCAGAGATTTTGGTTTTGTTTGTTGTTTTTTTTCCCCCAAACCTTTAAGTGTATGAAATTCTATTCTTTGATTGAAGTCAGGGAAGGCGTATGCATTCACCAGAGAAGTCAATTTGTTCACAGCAAGTATTTGAAACCCAAGAAGTATCTGATTTAATGAAAGCAGACATTGACTCACACTTTAATAACACAGCCAAAAAAAAAAAAAGTGAAAGAAGTATTTCTTTATATTTTTATCATCAGAATGGGTTTGCATCTGACGTGTCCCTAAGGCACAGATCCACGCTGTTTACACCTGTGCACTCTCCAGTCTCTTCACCACATCCCTCCCCAAATAAACCATTACTTCCTTATGCATTGCACATTGAATACATATGTGCCACATTTAGTACACTCGGGGGAGCGGGGTGCAGATTATCTATGCGACTTAGCATTTACCTGTGTTTCTAGGACATAACCTCTTTCTTTCTTCTTCATCACTTTTAACTAAAAATGAACATACGGCTCTGTCAATGACATAATGTTTTCATGAAAGTTCTACTAATTAAAAATCCTCACCATACCAGACCTAAAAAATGAGCACACTCTTGCCAAGTGTTATTCACCACAGAGAAGCTCTTGTAGCTACGTTTTAAAGGAAGATAGAGAGGGGGATGGTATGGAGGGAGAAAGTCTACTAACATATGCATTGAAGTATAACAGTTGTCAACATCAGAAGGACAGATTATTTTTAATACAGATCCTTCAAGAAAAAAAAAAAGAGGAGAAAAAATAATGTATCTCCAAAGAGCTGAGAAGTAATGGATGTGCAGTTTTGGATAATAGAAGCTTTCACTGGAATGAAGGAATGAAGGACCACAATTATAGGAAACATCTGTTTTTTCAAAGCAAAAGATGATAGGTCATTTTTAAAACAATATTTGTCTTTGTACCTGTAGACTCCCCTTTTTTCATAATAAGGAGACAGTAGGTTTTTATTTTAGTGGCATAAAAACAATTTCAGACTACTGCTTTTGCCCATAGTTACAGTGCTATCAATAGTTACTTGTTGGGGACATGCATTTATACTTGCAATATGCTGCATTAATTTAACAACACATAAAATATGGATTTTATTGCAGCAGAAACAATAAATGCTGCAACTGCTGACTACATGCATTTACTCTCCCTCTCTTTACCTCTCTCCCCCCAATACTTCTGACTCAGATATAAAATTGAAAATAAGAATTCTGCCTATTCTATTTCTGATGAATGTCAATCTATTGTATTTATGTAGATGCTTAGTGACCATTGACAGTTTCAAGGAATCTGTCTTCTGCCTGTCATTTCTGTTTATATTGAACGTACAATGAACTATGACTACGAATAAGTGCAGAGTGAATCCATTCATATGGAATGCAAAGTAATGTTAGATGATGTTAGAGTTCACAGTAACAATGTTATCTCTTGAACTGATTTTTAAAATAAAAATGAACAAGTCTGGGCATGACAAATTCACTTCATAACATATTTTTTAGCATTTGTTCCAAGTGAATGAATTCACAAACTCTAATATCATGACCCACTGTTGAGCATAATATATAATTTATCCAGCTTTACATTGCCTATATAGATATTCGAAGCAGTTGTTTCTAGAATTAAATATATAGAGTTGTATGCTTATTTAAGTATTAAAGATAATTATTTTGAAATAATTGCTAAACACAACTTAAAAACAAACATTTATCTCCTCCCTCTCCCCCCCCACCCCTCAAGTGGAGGAATATATAATACCTTAACGGAGTTAAAAGAAAGAGGTGAAGTCTTCCTACCTTTTTTATCAGCTTCTGGATAATGGAAGTTGGTTCCAGCCAAAATAACCCAGGAGAAATTGTCACTATGTCCCCTTTTTGTTTGTTTTCGGCTGTTATTTTCTATCACTGATTCTACTTCAATCTAACTCAAGCTCTTTCTCAGCATCACTTTTAACTCTGGACAGCAGGGAACCGAAGAAAACGGGGGCGAGCTCTCTCTGATTGGCTTTCATTCAGTGCTTCTGATTAAGGGGAAAGGAAAAAAAAAAAAAAGGAAAGGGGGGAAAAAAGCTCTTCCTCACACGGAGAGAAAGGTTCTGCTGATAGAGCTGCAGCACTCGCCATGGGAAGGTTAGAGACTGTGGAAGTGCTGGCTTCTGCGAGCACACAGCGATTTGCAAGTGAATGCGAGGGGAGGGCGCATCCGAGAGGAGGGCTTTGCTTGAAAGGCGTCCCCTCCCCCGCAGGGCAGAAAGACTCTCTGTTTCAAGGCTAAGGTAATCAGCCCAATCTAATCCGCCTGTGTCCGTAATACAATCTCAGGAACAGGACTGCTTCTTGCAATTTTTTTTAAAAAAAGATAGTTCTTCTGGAATATATATTCCTGCACCGTCCTTACACCAGACTACCGAAATCCAAGTATTATCAGAGCGCCAAGTCAAATTGCAACCAGATTTGATATGTTACCAGAGTGATTTTTCGTTGTGATTTTAAATGTTTATTTTTTGCTTTCAGGGAACTTTCTCGGCTTGATTTTCCAAATCCCTTCTCTTGTTGCTTATTGTCACAGGAGTGCATACCTCGCTCATCATTTTGGAATGTCCGCGAGCCAGTCTTCTCTGCCTAATCTTTGCATTTTAATACTTTATAGATAAAATATTTTATTAAAAATGTAAATATGTAATTAGTGTTATTAAAATATTTAGACTTTGAACTTGACACAGTCTCCTTTTTTTTCTTTTTAACGTTGTTTTTTCTCATAAATACGGGTTTCATACCCAAATGAGTGTGTGGACAGATGTAAATACATTTGGATTGTTCTATCTACTTAAACATCTAACTGTCTCGCTATTTATCAATCTCCACATCAAATTGCAATCAACCAAACCTTACCAAAGGATGTCAGTATAGCTCCACAAAGTAATTAACATCTTTGCATTTTTCCGGCTACAGGTAGATTCCTTTTAAAGTGCCATCCATAAATAAATTATATACACATATACATACATATATGCATATAAATACATATATGTCAATTATAGTTTTAAAGCTAGAGGAGAAATTACGAAGATCATTTTGGGCTGTTATTATTATTATTTCTTTAGCAGATAAAAATGCTCAGAATGTTAAATTGTCACAGGACTAACTGGAGGCGGGGTCAAAGCTGTAATACCACACTCCTACTTCCAGTTTAGTATTGTTTCCGGTTGCCATACTGCCTCCTCTGTACCTGTTTGATCATTCTAACAGTCAACAGGCCCCTTACATAATCAGCACAATGAAAAAGGAAGAAACTCAATCTGAGGGGCAAAAAAGAAGTGAGAGGGAGATTCAAAATTAGATTCCAAAAAGGTTTTAATGTATCACAGTGTTATTATATGATGAATTTTACCAATTAGTTTTATATTTGAAAACACCAAACATTTCCACTGAGCTGAACAGCTAAATGACATTTAGAGCAGAAATGGACTTTTGAAACTCTTAATTTTACAGACGATGGCATTAAGATCAGGAAAATTTTATGGCCCCTCTAAAGTTTGATAATAATAGAGCTAGAATTCTGAATTATCACCGTATCATTTGCCCATAGTTTTTGTTATGTTTTGTATGTTTTCTTCGACAGGGTGCCTTAATTTCAGAGTCAAGTGAAAATAGATATTCAGTTTTTTACCTCTGATACGTATATTTGTGTGTATTTGTGTTTGCCTGGTATATGTGTGTATTCAATATAATACTGTTATTGACATGTTAAATTAGCTATCAAGAGAAATTTATAATATTTAATTAAATGCAGCAGGTTAGGTACACACACACACATTGTTCTCTTATTAAATTAACTATTTCCATATGTTTGTTTAGTGCTAATTTCAAAATGTATGACTACATAATGTGAAGAATTTGGGGGTTACATTTAAATGGGTCGAGAAAATAACCAAAGGCTAAGATCTGAGGTAAATTGCTATTTTATTAATTAGAATACATGTTGAAATGATGTATTCCCAAAATAACATTTTCTGAATTATATAGTTTATGCTTCTCTTACATAGGTTTTTGGTTGGTGTGTTTATTCTGCCCTGTCTAGTCATCAGAAACTCAGCTTCCTTCTGTCTTGATGCTCAATGTTTTTAAGGAATTGAACTCATTTATATGATCCAGGAGAGATCACCACACATCTACCTTCTAGAAAAAGGAATAAAAGGAACAAGAGAAAGTTGCTCCCGTCCTTTGAAAAATGTGACCCTGAACATGTACATGTCACTTTCATGATCTCATTGGGTGGAATTTAGACACTTGGTCACACATTGTTGCTAGGGAGGCTGGGGATGTGGTATTTACTCTCACTATTTGCCCAGCTAAAGTCACTGGTGCTATTAGGGAGGTGACAGAATTGGGTACAAACAGCAGGATTGTCTATTATATTCATGTATTATAGAGTAGTATATTTGGTATAATGTACTTTTTTGGAGAAAAGCAAATTTTTATTCTAGTTTAAAATTAAAATTATGTTATAATGCTAGTGAAAGGTATCTATACAAAATAACGTTAATAATATTTTAACATTTATGAAACAATTGTCAGTTATTGCATTTTTTCTTTTTTTGATCAAGTAATATAATTAATAAATAATAGGCAAAGCATCCATGTATTCCAAAGTTCAGGGGATCTAGTTATAGATGTGAGAGAATGAAGAGGAAAACATTTGAACAATAAATGAATTAAACCCATTCACATTTTTCTTAATGCTCATCTTAGAAAGACTCTATATCTGAGATCAAATGCCATCCTATCGAATATACGCCCTAGTAATTAAAATTAAAATAAAGAATAAACAGAACATTGACTAAAATGTAAAACTTCTGACAATGGGTTTTGTTTTATTAAACAATATTATTTTTCATTTTCTTTATTTCACAATATAAATGAGTTAACTTAGGATTCTGCAAGTTTTTCTATTTCTTTATAATTTTCCCTCCAAATCTTATGTGAAATAGTCTTGTGAATTAGATAGGGTTTTCCTGTTGTTACCAATATCAGGAAACTGGTAGCACGTGGGAAGTGAAATGAATAAATGAAATGTAAAAGGGACAGTAAACTCTCAATGAAATGAATGGGTCAATATCTCGCAGAAATGTCCTTTAATATGAGGAGAGGCCATATATCAACTACAAGCAAATAAAAGTTAATGAAAACTTTTGCAAATATATTTCTATATACAACTTTTAAAACTAAATAGGAAATTGCACAGAAAATACCTTACTACAATCATACAGCACTAAGAAAATTTGAAAGCATTCTATTATTAATATAATAATGGGACTCAATGACGGCTGATCTCTTCATTGCAAATGTGAAAGATCCAATTTGAGTAAAATCAATTAAATGAAACAACCTTCCATTTTGTATGAAACTATTACATGCCTAGAAGTTGTCATGCTGTTGCTAAACAATAAGCTTAACTGCACAAGACTTTACTTGCTGAGCAGCTATGTGCTTATTTTAAAACACTAGCTTCTTAGCCACCCTTTCCTCGGTTTCTTTGAATGTTATGAAAAATAATATCAATTTCCATTTTCTGTTAGGAAGTTACTGAAACCTAGTTATCTCACTAAGTCTATGAAACAAAAGTAAAGAGTGTCCACATTGCTTCACTCTCCATAAATATGTTGGCAGAATAATAATTTGTCATAGTCTGTTTGACAACATTTTTGCTAAACTCCTTCTAGTCTGCCTTAAAGGACTGTACAGACTTGGAAAATTAAAAATCACATTTTCCTTACAGCTAGTGTTTGAGGTAGGAGTGGAGGGTGATTCATATTCAGTTTTTCAGATGCCCTCATCATCTTTAATTAGAAACAGAGTTAAATAAGCAGAAAGGCAAGATGCAAGGTATTTATTTCACTACCATAGTAGCTGAGGAAGCATGGTTTTGCAGTTACCATAATCTGGGGGCAGTATTGGGAGCTTTTTTTTTGGGAGGGGGGGACGGAGTCTAGTTCTGTCACCCAGGTTGGAGTGCAGTGGCATGATCTCAGCTTACTGCAACCTCTGCCTCCTGGGTTCAAGTGATTCTCCGCCTCAGCCTCCTGAGTAGCTGGGATTACAGGTGCCTGCCACCGTGCCCAGCTAATTCTTGTATTTTTTTATAGAGACAGGGTTTCACTGTGTTGGCCACGCTGGTCTCAGACTCCTGACCTCGTGATCCGCCTGCCTGGGCCTTCCAAAGTGCTGTGATTACAGATGTGAGCCTCTGCGCCCCGGCCTGGGAGCTTTTTGAACCAGGACAATGAATGTGTGATCCTGGGAGCTAGAAGTACTTTGATCTTCACCTAGTCCCTCTCTTTCTACTTAGGTTGTTAACCACACATCATTCAAAATTAAATTGTTATTTGTCTAAAATAGTGAGAGCGGTTTCTGTTATCTGCAACTGAACTGTTACTGATATTTTTCTACTTAATCATATCTCAACATTTCAAAAGTCCTATAACTTGAGGGTGGAAAAAGGGAGAATCAATCCTGAGAAAAAAATGAAGTGTCAAATAGTTAGCTATGTTTTAAAAAATGTAATCATTCTGACAATCAATAGTTAATTAAAGAACATATGATCTTAAATTTATTTTTGTCTCATGCCCCTTCTCTTTAGAAGTTACTATGCTCTCTGTGCTTTAGGTATAAAGGTTACTGCTTGCTTTCTTGACTTTTTTGGGAACGCAGAGAACAATACCTCAAAGTATGGTGCTTTGGTGTACTGAGCATGTTTCAATTAAAGGAAATTGAAAGGCCTTAGAAACTGCCTCAGAAGCAAGGACTTCTTCACCTTCTCTTGTTTCTTCCCCTCAAGTGTTCTCTCTGGAACTTCCCTTATCTAACTGCAGGGAGCCGAAGGCCCAAAGGCCCCTGGGACGTGACCAACTCAGCATTCCACTGGAGGCTGTATGATCAAACAGCAAACTGTTTATCATGAATGCAGGATTTGAGCAAACTCAGGACTGCTCCTGCCAACAGAAGGTTTGCTGGAGGCCATCACTCCCTGGTGCTGAGGTTATCTACTGCGACATCTAGAGAATACAGTCTCACAAGCCTACTCTAGACTGAGCAGCTGACCCCTTCTTCCACCCCACTTCTCACTTTCTCTTTTGCCTCATAAAGTTGACTCTTCTGTTTTCTCCACTTGGAGTTTAGTTCGTACTGTACTTCTGCCATTATCTCCTTATTATTCTGCTGGACAGCAGGCTGAGTCTAAAAATCTGAAAGAATCGGCCAGGTGTGGTGGCTCACACCTGTAATCCCAGCCGTTTGGGATGCTGAGGAGGGCGGATCACGAGGTCAAGAGATCGAGACCATCATGGCCAACATGGTGAAACCCCGTCTCTACTAAAAATACAAAAATTAGCTCGGTGTCATAGCATGTGCCTGTAGTCCCAGCTACTCGGGAGGCTGAGGCAGGAGAGTCGCTTGAACCTGAGAGGTGGAGGTTGCAGTGAGCCCAGATTGCACCAGGGCACCCCAGCCTGGTGACAGAGCGAGATTCCATCTCAAAAAAAAAAAAAAAAAAAAAAAAAAAAAAGAAAGAAAGAAAGAATCTGTTGTTCCACCCACAGCTCCAACTGAAAATAAAAAACAGGAAAGGGAGGATAAAAATTGGCCTATACCACCTTCTCCATTTGTAGAAACATCTGTACCGCCTCCTTCGGTAGCAGAAATAGAAACCCCAATACAAATAATTTTACGCTCTGCTGTCATAGCTGGAGAGCCCTTAGGACCTCACGCTTTTCCTATTTCCGTAAGGCCTAATCCAAACAATCCACAGCAGGTTATTCATGAACACACTCCGCTAGAGTTTAAGTTGTTGAAGGAATTAAAAGCGACTGTGGTAAATAATGGCATACAGAGCCCATTCACCTTAGGATTGCTAGAATCTGTGTTTGGTGCTATGCATTTTTACCCTTTGATGTGAGATACTTGGCATGAACTTGCTTGTCCGCTAGTGCATATCTGACATGGAATTTAAATTGGCAAGAAATGTGTGCAGACCAGGCTAAACAGAACCATGTTGCTGGACACACAGACATTACAGAGGATATGCTGTTAGGTAATGGCCCTTATTCAGACCTGGAACGTCAAATGGCACTTGCAGACACTGCTCATCAGCAGTGTGCACAGGCCGCTAAACGTGCCTGGGCCACAATTCCTGAAGAGCGAGTCCCAGTAAAATCCTTTTAACATATCATACAACGGTCGCAGGAACCTATATGCAATTTCTTGCAAGATTACAAGAGGCAGTGAAGTGTCAAGATTACAAGAGGCGGCTGCAGAAATGCTAACCTTAACTCTAGCTTTTAAGAATGCAAATGCGGATTGTAAACATGCACTGGCACTGGTGAGGCATACAAAAAACTTGGGAAATTTTCTCAGAGCTTGTCAAGATGTAGGAACTGAGCTTCATGGCTCTGCAATGTTAGCACAAGCAATGGCTAATTTAGCAGTTGACAAATCTAAAAGGAGCCAAGGATCCAACCCTAAAATGAGAAAATGTTATAATTGTGGAAAAGCTTTTATAAAGGAATGCCACCAGATCTCAGGACAGAAAGGACCTTACAATGCAGTGCCCCACCCAGCAGAAAAAAAACGCAAGGACTTTGTCCTTGCTGTAACAAAGGAAATCACTGGGCTAATCAGTGCCACTCAAAATTTCATCAAAACGGCACCCCCCTGCTGGAAAACGAGACAGGGGCGTTCCCAGTCCAGCTCTCAACCCCATTTCAGGGCTGGGTTCCCGGAGGCACATCGATTCCTTCACCCCAGGAACACCAGGAAGTGCAGGATTAGATCTACCTGCCAGAGAAAGAATCCCGTTAGTTGGTGGAGACAAACCTATCAAAGTTCCTACTGGCATTTGGGGACCTTTACCAACAGAATATATGGGATTAGTTTTAGGCAAGTCTGCCTTAACTTGCAAAGCATTACTGTATTCCCAGGAGTGATTGACTCCAATTATGCAGGAGACATTCAAGTAGTTTTAATGTCACAAGATCTTTGGATTTTTGAACCGAGAGAATATGTTGCTCAATTATTGCTTATTCCCTGCAAATTCTAGTCTTCTCCATGAAAGGTGAAATGAGAAAATAAAGGATTTGGGAGCACAACTACACAGGAAATCTATCTATCCCAACCCATAGCCTCTAATAGACCCATCTGTGTATTTCAAATTAAAGGAAAGAAATTTTGTGAGCTTATGGATATGGGAGCTGATGTATCAGTAAGATCTAAAGACAATTGGCCCCCATCCTGGCCCTTGCAATCAACTTCTACATCTCTAGTGGGAGTAGGAACAGCTCAGAGTGTTCAACAGAGCGCTGAGATTTTACCTTGCCTTGGTCCGGATGGACAGTCATGTACTTTTCAGCCTTATGTTGCAAGTATAGCCATGAATTTATGGGATCAAGACTTACTTACAGCATGGAATAGGAGACTTACAAATGAATACTTTGATAACCCAGGATTTAAAATGTTGAAGAACATGAGATATCAGAGTGGAAAAGGTTTGGGGAAGTTTCTACATGAAATCCTAACCCGATATCAGTACTGAAAAAACAGATGGAAAAGGGCTAGAACGTCACAATTTCTGGCGGGGGGTCATTGATATTTCTCCTCCGCCCACGGCCTTACCATTAGAATGGCTTAGTGACAAAACTGTGTGGGTGGATAAATGGCTCCTAACACAGGAGCAGCTAGATCGACTTAATCTCTTGGTAAAGGAGCAGCTGAATGCAGGACATATAGAAAAGTCAGTTAGCTCCTGGAATTCTCCAGTGTTTGTTATTACAAAAAGGTCCGAAAGCAATAATGACCTCTGGTGCTTCAGCTCAAGGCTCAGAGCTAATTGCAGTCATTCAGGTTTTACAGCTCACAGCTTCAGATCCTATCAACATAGTCTGTGATTCAGCTTATGCTGTAAATGTAGCCAGTCACATAGAAAGTGCTACAGTTAAAAGTACACTGGACGCAGAACTGCTTAATATGTTTCACTTATTCTGATATGCTGCATGCTGCATGCCAAACAGGTGAGACAGCTGGTCATTTACAGCGACATTGTCTGTCATCATTTGCTCATATGGGGACACCTAAACAATTAAAAACTGACAATGGACCCACTTATACTAGTCATACTTTTCAAAATTTCTTACAGCTTTGGACTATAACCCATAAAACAGGAATTCCTTATAATCCTAGAGGACAAAGCATTAGAGAGCGGGCACATCAAGCATTATAACGCATGTTGAAAAAACAAAAAGGGGGTACAGGAGGACAACTACCACCTCAATCAAAACTACATTTAGCCTTATTTACTGTAAATTTTCTGACTCCTGGTATGGATGGTAAGACTCCAGCAGAAAGACATTGGCAAGTGTTAGAGGAAAAGAGGAAAGTTTACCCGAAAGTGTTATGGAAATCCCCAGAAGAAGGACGATGGAAAGTTCCGGTGGATTTACTGACATGGAGATGAGGGTATGCTTGTGTTTTCACAGGAGATGGACAAGCCATGTGGGTGCCCTCAGGATGTGTGCAATCATGGAATGGGAGACTGGAGGAACCCAGGGTGGCCAGCCATGGGCCTAGTCCCTCCAGTATGAGCCATGAGTTAGCCGAGCCTGAGTGCAAACACAGAGAGAAGGCCAACCAGAGTCACAACACAGTTCTACTGTTACATTTGTAAAGAATATCACCACTCAATTTACAGTTTGTGTTTTTAATCCTTATGTCTTTTTGGCTGCTAAGAAGGACCAGCTCCAGGTAAACAATATTCAGTTGACGTGCAGATCTTGCCAGTTATAACACTGCATTAATCATAGCACATTGAAAACACATAATATCTCTACTTTGATGATTTTAGGTTGCATCCCTGGGCTAGGGATTCCTGTTAATCTGTCCAGAGACTTGGGCTGCCACACCTGCTTTGCATTTTGTGAAACTTCTAACTCAGCTCACTCATCGTGTCTTTAGAGCCTTGGACATGATAATTTTTGCTCTTGTTTCCTTGGTCACACTAATAACTTCTGTTGTGATATCTTCTGTAGCTTTGCATAGTTCTGTTCAAACAGCTCAGTACTTGGATAACTGGACACGTACAGCTAACCAAGCATGGCTACTTCACAATAGAATTAACACTGACCTACAAACTGAAGTGGCAATGTTAAAATCCATGGTTCTATGGTTAGGGGAACAAGTACAAAGCTTGCAAATGCAGCAGCAATTGCATTGTCATTTTAATCACATCAATATTTGTGTAACCAACTTAGAATATAACCAAAGTGAGTATCCATGGGACCTTGTGAAAGACCATCTGCAGGGAGCTTCCACATCCAACATCACCTTTGATATTGGTGAATTATAAAACAAAATTCTTGATTTAAATAGGAAAACTCAAGTACTTCAGCCTTCTTTAGAAGACTGGACCGAATTCCAGCAAGGCCTGGAGAGCCTCAACCCCTAGACCTATCTAAGGCACCACATTAACATCTTATATATAGTTCTTGGATTAATGTTTTTTTGTCTCTGTCTTCTGTTTATAGTCTGTAAAATCAGATGGACTGCCAATCAGAGAATGAGAGCTGCCCAGCCTGGCCTTACATTCTTTCAATTAATTAATAAACCGAAAGGGGGATATGCAGGGAGCCGAAGTCCCTTGGGATGTGACCAACTCATCATTCCACTGGAGGCTATATGATCAAACAGTGAACTGTTTATTGTGAATGCAGGAATTGAGCAAACTCATGACCGCTCCTGCTGACAGAAGGTTTGCTGGAAGCAATCACTCCCTGGTGCCGAGGTTATTTACTGAGATGTCTAGAGAATACAGTCTTGCAAGCCTACTCTGGACTGAGCAGCTGACCCCTTCTTCCACCCCTCTTCTCACTATCTCTTTTTTTTCTTTCTTTTTAAATTATACTTTAAGTTCTAGGATACATGTGCACAACGTGCAGGTTTGTTACATAGGTATATATGTGCCATGTTGGTTTGCTGCATTCATTAACTCATCATTTACATTAGGTATTTCTCCTAATGCTATCCCTTCCCCATCCCCCACCCCACCCCACCACAGGCCCAGGTGTGTGATGTTCCCCGCCCTGTGTCCAAGTGTTCTCATTGTTCAATTCCCACCTGTAAGTGAGAATATGCGGTGTTTGTTTTTCTGTCCTTGCAATAGTTTGCTCAGAATGATGGTGTCCAGTTTCATCCATGTTGCTACAAAGGACATGAACTCATCCTTTTTTATGGCTGCATAGCATTCCATGGTGTATATATGCCATATTTTCTTAATCCAGTCTATTATTGATGTACATTTGGGTTGGTTCCAAGTCTTTGCTATTGTGAATAGTGCCACAATAAACATACGTGTGCATGTGTCTTTATAGTAGCATGATTTATGATCCTTTGGGTATATACCT
This sequence comes from Homo sapiens, assembly GCF_000001405.40. Taxonomy (NCBI): domain Eukaryota; kingdom Metazoa; phylum Chordata; class Mammalia; order Primates; family Hominidae; genus Homo; species Homo sapiens. Next base: position 24,655,243 of record NC_000005.10, read on the forward strand.
AGTGATGGGATCACTGGGTCAAATGGTATTTCTATTTCTAGATCCTTGAGGAATCTCCACATTGTCTTCCACAATGTTTGGACTAGTTTACACTCCCACCAACAGTGAAAAAGCATTCCTATTTCTCCACATCCTCTACAGCACCTGTTGTTTCCTGACTTTTTAATAATCGCCATTCTAACTGATGCCAGATGGTATCTCATTTTGGTTTTGATTTGCATTTCTCTGATGACCAGTGATGATGAGCATTTTTTCATGTGTCTGTTGGCTGCATAAATGTCTTCTTTTGAGAAGTGTCTGTTCATGTCCTTTGCCCACTATTTGATGGAGTTGTTTGATTTTTTCTTGTAAATCTGTTTAAGTTCTTTGTAGGTTCTTGATATTAGCCCTTTGTCAGATGGGTAGATTGCAAAAATTTTCTCCCATTCTGTAAGTTGCCTGTTCACTCTGATGGTAGTTTCTTTTGCTGTGCAGAAGCTCTTTAGTTTAATTAGATCCCATTTGTCAATTTTGGCTTTTGTTGCCATTGCTTTTGGTGTTTTAGTCGTGAAGTCCTTGCCCATGCCTATGTCCTGAATGGTATTGCCTAAGTTTTCTTCTAGGGTTTTTATGGTTTTAGGTCTAACATTTAAGTCTTTAATCCATCTTGAATTAATTTTTGTGTAAGGTCTAAGGAAGGGATCCAGTTTCAGCTTTCTACGTATGGCTAGCCAGTTTTCCCAGCACCATTTATTAAATAGGGAAACCTTTCCCCATTTCTTGTTTTTGTCAGGTTTGCCAAAGATCAGATGGCTGTAGATGTGTGGTGTTATTTCTGAGGCCTCTGTTCTGTTCCATTGGTCTATATCTCTGTTTTGGTACCAGTACCATGCTGTTTTGGTTACTGTAGCCTTGTAGTATAGTTTGAAGTCAGGTAGCGTGATGCCTCCAGCTTTGTTCTTTTTGTTTAGGATTGTCTTGGCAATGTGGGCTCTTTTTTGGTTCCATATGAACTTTAAAGTAGTTTTTTCCAATTCTGTGAAGAAAGTCATTGGCAGCTTGATGGGGATGGCATTGAATCTATAAATTACCTCAGGAAGTATGGCCATTTTCACAATATTGATTCTTCCTATCCATGAGCATGGAATGTTCTTCCATTTGTTTGTGTGCTCTTTTATTTCATTGAGCAGTGGTCTGTAGTTCTCCTTGAAGAGGTCCTTCATATCCCTTGTAAGTTGGATTCCTAGGTATTTTATTCTCTTTGTAGCAATCGTGAATGGGAGTTCACTCATGATTTGGCGCTCTGTTTGTCTGTTATTGGTGCATAAGAATGCTTGTGATTTTTGCACATTGATTTTGTATCCTGAGAGTTAGCTGAAGTTGCTTATCTGCTTAAGGAGATTTTGGGCTGAGACTGTGGGGTTTCCTAAATATACATACATGTCATCTGCAAACGGACAATTTGACTTCCTCTTTTCCTGATTGAATACCTTTATTTTTTTCTCTTCCTGATTGCCCTGGCCAGAACTTCCAACACTGTGTTGAATAGGAGTGGTGAGAGAGGGCATCCCTGTCTTGTGCCAGTTTTCAAAGGGAATGCTTCCAGTTTTTGCCCATGCAGTATGATACCGGCTGTGGGTTTGTCATAAATAGCTCTCCTTATTTTGATATACGTTCCATCAATACCTAGTTTACTGAGAGTTTTTAGCATGAATGCTGTTGAATTTTGTTGAAGGCGTTTTCTGCATCTATTAAGATAATCATGTGGTTTCTGTCTTTGGTTCTGTTTATGTGATGGATTACATTTATTGATTTGCATATGTTGAACCAGCCTTGCATCCCAGGGATGAAGCCCACTTGATCATCGTGGATAAGCTTTTTGATGTGCTGCTGGATTCGGTTTGCCAGTATTTTATTGAGGATTTACCATCAATGTTCATCAGGGCTACTGGTCTAAAATTCTCTTTTTTTGTTGTGTCTCTGCCAGACCTTGGTATCAGGATGATGCTGGCCTCATAAAATGAGTTAGGGAGGATTCCCTCTTTTACTTTTGATTAGAATAGTATCAGAAGGAATAGTACCAGCTCCTCTTTGTACCTCTGTTAGAATTCGGCTGTGAATCCATCTGGTCCTGGAATTTTTTTGGTTGGTAGGCTACTAATTATTGCCTCAATTTCAGAGCCTGTTATTGGTCTATTCAGGGATTCAACTTATTCCTGATTTAGTATTGGGAGGGTCTATGCGCCCAGGAATTTATCCATTTCTTCTAGATTTTTTGTTTGTTTGCCTAGAGGTGTTTATAGTATTCTCTGATGGTAGTTTGAATTTCTTCGGGATTTGTGGTGATATCCCCTTTATCATTTTTTATTGCATCTATTTGATTCTTCTCTTTTTTCTTTATTAGTCTTGCTAGTCTTTTCAAAAAACCAGCTCCTGGATTCGTTGATTTTTTGAAGGGTTTTTTTTCTGACTCTGTCTCCTTCAGTTCTATTCTGATCTTAGTTATTTCTTGCCTTCTGCTAGCTTTTGAATTTGTTTGCTCTTGCTTCTCTAGTTCTTTTAATTGTGATGTTAGCATGTCAATTTTAGATCTTTTCTGCTTTCTCTTGTGGGTATTTATTGCTGGAAATTTCCCTGTACACACTGCTTTAAATGTGTCCCAGAAGTTCTGGTACATTGTGTCTTTATTCTCATTGGTTTCAAAGAACATCTTCATTTCTTCCTTCATTTTGCTATTTATCCAGTAGTCATTCAGGAGCAGGTTGTTCAGTTTCCATGTACTTGTGTGGTTTTGAGTTGGTTTTTAATCCTGAGTTCTATTTTGATTGCACTATGGTCTGGGAGACAATTTGTTGTGATTTCTGTTCTTTTACATTTGATTTGCTGAGGAGTGCTTTACTTGCAACTGTGTGGTCAATTTTGGATTAAGTGTGATGTGGTGCTGAGAAGAATGTATATTCTGTTGATTTGGGGTGAAGAGCTCTGTAGAGATCTGTTAGGTCTTCTTGGTGCAGAGCTGAGTTCAAGTCCTGGATATCCTTGTTAAGCTTCTGTCTCGTTGAGCTGTCTAATATTGAGAGTGGGGTGTTAAAGTCTCCCATTATTATTGTGTGGAAGTCTAAGTCTCTTTTTAGGTCTCTAAGGTCTTGCTTTATGAATCTGGCTGCTCCTGTATTGGGTGCATATATATTTAGGATAGTTAGCTCTTCTTGTTGAATGGATCTCTTTACCATGAGGTTATGGCCTTCTTTGTCTCTTTTGATCTTTGTTGGTTTCAAGTCTGTTTTATCAGAGACTAGGATTGCAATCCCTGCTTTTTTTTTTTTTTTTTTTTTTTGCTTTCCATTTGCTTGGTAGATCTTCCTTCATCCCTTTATTTTGAGCCTATTTGTGTCTCTGCATGTGAAATGGGTCTCCTGAATACAGCACGCTGACGGGTCTCGACTCTTTATCCAATTTGCCAGTCTGAGTCTTTTAATTGGGGCCTTTAACCCATTTACATTTAAAGTTAATACTGTTATGTGTGAATTTGATCCTGTCATTATGATGTTAACTGGTTATTTTGCCCGTTAGTTGATGCAGTTTCTTCCTAGCATCAATGATCTTTACAATTTGGCATGTTTTTGCAGTGGCTGGTACTGGTTTTTCCTTTCTACATTTAGTGCTTCCTTCAGGAGCTCTTGTAAGGCAGGCCTGGTGGTGACAAAATCTCTCAGTATTTGCTTGTCTGTGAAGGATTTTATTTCTCCTTCACTTACGAAGCTTAGTTTGGCTGGATATGAAATTCTGAGTTGAACATTCTTTTCTTTAAGAATGTTGAATATTGGCCCCTACACTCTTCTGGCTTGTAGGGTTTCTGAAGAGAGATCTGCAGTTAGTCTGGTGGTCTTCCGTTTGTGGGTAACTCGACCTTTCTCTCTGGCTGCCCTTAACATTTTTTCCTTTTTTTCAACCTTTGTGAATTTGATGATTATATGTCTTGGGGTTGCTCTTCTGGAGGAGAATCTTTGTGCTTTTCTCTGTATTTCCTGAATTTGAATGTTGGCCTGCCTTGCTAGGTTGGAGAAGTTCTCCTGGATAATATCCTGAAGAGTGTTTTCCAACTTGGTTCCATTCTCCCCATCACTTTCAGGGACACCAATCAAACGTAGATTTGTTCTTTTTCACATAGTCCCATATTTCTTGGAGGATTTGTTCATTTATTTTTATTCTTTTTTCTCTAAACTTCTCTTCTTGCTTCACTTCATTAATTTGATCTTCAATCACTGATACCCTTTCTTCCACTTGATCAAATCAGCTACTGAAGCTTGTGCATGCATCACTTAGTTCTCATGCCATGGTTTTCAGCTCCATCAGGTCATTTAAGATCTTCTCTACACTGTTTATTCCACTTAGCCATTTGTCTAACCTTTTTTCAAAGTTTTTATCTTTCTTGCAATGGGTTCGAACATCCTTCTTTAGCTCAGAGAAGTTTGTTATTACCAACTTTCTGAAGCCTACTTCTGTCAACTCATCATTCTTTGTCCAGCTTTGTTCCGTTGCTGGCGACGAGCTGCGATCCTTTGGAGGAGAAGGGGTGCTCTGGTTTTTACAATTTTCATCTTTTCTGCTCTGGTTTCTCCCCATCTTTGTGGTTTTATCTACCTTTGGTCTTTGATGATGGTGACCTACAGATGGGGTTTTGGCGTGGATGTCCTTTTTCTTGATGTTGATGCTATTCCTTTCTGTTTGTTAGTTTTCCTTCTAACAGTCACGTCCCTCAGCTGCAGGTCCATTGAAGTTTGCTGGAGGTCCACTCCAGACCCTGTTTGCCTGGGTATCACCAGCAGAGGCTGCAGAACAGCAAATATTGCAGAACAGCAAATACTACTGCCTGATCCTTCCTCTGGAAGCTTCGTTTCAGAGGGGCACCTGGCTGTGTGAGGTGTCAGTCAGCCCCTACTGGGAGGTGTCTCCAAGTTAGGCTACACAGGGTTCAGGGATCCACTTGAGGAGGCAGTCTGTCCATTCTCAGATCTCAAACACCATGCTGGGAGAACCATTGCTCTCTTCAGAGCTGTCAGTCAGGGACTTTTAAGTCTGCAAAAGTTTCTGCTGCCTTTTGTTCAGCTATGCCCTGCCCCCAGAGGTGGAGTCTACAGAGGCAGGCAGGCCTCCTTGAGCTGTGGTGGGCTCCACTCAGTTCGAGCTTCCTGGCTGCTTTGTTTACCTACTCAAGCCTCAGCAATGGCAGACATCCCTCCCCCAGCCAGGCTTGCCACCTCGCAGTTCAATCTGGGACTAGCAGTGAGCAAGTTTCCATGGGAGTGGGACCCACTGAGCCATGCACGGGATATAATCTCCTGGTGTGCCATTTGCTAAGGCCATTGGGAAAGCTCAGTGTTTAGGTGGCTTCAGTTTAGGTGTTTAGCTCAGTGTCTTGATTTTCCCAGTACAGTCAGTCATGGCTTCCCTTGGCTAAGAAAGGGAAATCCCCTGACCCCTTGCACTTCTCTGGTGAGGCGTGACCCACCCTGCTTTGGCTCGCCCTCCATGGGCTGTACCCACTGTCTGACAAGTCCCAGTGAGATGAATCAGGTACCTCAGTTGGAAATGCAGAAATCACCCATCTTCTGCATCAATCATGCTGGGAGCTTCAGACCGAAGCTGTTTCTATTTGGCTATCTTGGAACAGCCTCACTTTATCTTTTGCCTAATTAATATGGAGGGCTGTGTAAAGCTCAGGGCCCTTGTCCACTAGAGGCAAGATGCACCCTGTCCCCTTTTTCCAAGTATACTTTTTTGCCTCTTGTCTTTTATTCCCACGTTCACCCCCTCTTTGTTCAGTCCCACTAGGTCCATGTGGGTTACATAGTGGCACCCCAAACAGCGACAGAATTGGGTGCTCTACATCTAACTGAGGAAAGCTTCTTCCATAAAAAATGCAATTATCTTAAGATCCCATCCCTAGAAATCTCATCAAATAACCAATAAAGATTAATCACCCCACCAGAGAAGAGAAAAGACTAAAAGTTGTCACTGTGCCCAGGCAGACTTTCCATCTGTTTTTCCGAGAGTTGCTCAGAAAGATTACCTGGGACACTTTTTTCTGTATAAAGTTCAACCTTTGATAACAGTGAAGTTCTACCTCTTGCTTTTTCACTACTTCTCCCAGAACTCAGAGGAGCTTTGTCCCAGTCCATTGTCTGTTCTTTGGGCTCATTCATTTCTCTTGAAAGTCATTTCCTACCCCTCAGAAATGCCTTCATCTCCTATTTCCTTCTCCTCTGTGCTATTTAAGCCTCAACCATCTGGCCCTTCATTGAGTCTTATATTTTATATGGCTCCTGTGTTTATATAAGTTAATAAATTTTTATGTCTTTCTCCTGTTAATCTGTCCATTGCCAGTTCATTGCAGCAGATTCAAACCTTCAGAGGGGGAAGAAAAATTATCTTTACCCCTATACTTTCTTAGATAAAATCTGAATCACACTGCTTGGTCTTTTTCCTATTTTTAATGTTAAAATATTTAATTACATATGAAAAGATTTACAAGTAAATTAAATGCTATTTTCATAGGAAAAGTGACAAAACGTAGAGTGAATAATTCTTACATTGATTGAAAATTAAATTCTTACTCAAACTGACTACTTCAACCCATACCTGAATAAGGTCAGTGGCCTAGTTTAAATTTTGAAACATTGGTGAAGTGAAAATAATTCATTGTTTGGCTGTGATATAACTTTATGCCTGCGAAATTGAATTTTAAAAAATCTTTGATATTAAAAAAAGTGACAAATCATAATCTAGTGTATTTGTAATTGTGTTTAGTGAACATAGATATAATCTTTTATTTTTATACTTTAGGCTGTAATTTTAATGCAGAAACTAGGCTTTGGTGCTAAAACTAGTGTTTTAATCAATATTCCCATTCTGAAAAGCCATTCTAAGAATTCTTAGATGCTTCTTAATAAAAGGCAATATTTAAAAATAAATAAATATGTATTACAAAACACCAGACAAACCACAACTATAATTTTTATTTCTTCTCTCTTAAAATACTATTTCATTACTTTTATGCTTTTTCTTCTCTTATTATTTGTCAAGGACTATTAATTGTGTGAGATTATTACTTACATGTAAACCAACAAATCACCTTGCCCATTTCATGGATGCTGACAGAAGATATGAGACTTCTGAGTAAGACACAAAGGGCACAGGAAGACATATTTTCTTTTCCCCCAATATCCCATAGGGGCCATACCTGAGATGGACTCAAGTAGATATTGCACATAGAATGGGTTTGCATATTAGCTGAGGGACCACAGCTAGGGAAATGCAGCATTTTATTATAATGGTTTGTGAACAATACTGTATGAATTTTGTTCCCAATGAAGTCCTCGTCTTCATTTTATTATGCTGTCAACTTCAAAAAAAAGACTCCAGAGGAAATTACCTTTAGATATGTTTGGTTTATTCAGGATTAAGTTATAAGGATAATAATCCAGAATGCATGAAATAGCAAGCCCTCAGTGCATTTAGTGAGGGTGAAAGAAGGGTGAGGGGAGCTTTTTAATAAAAGAGATTCATGTAAGCTACTTAGAAACAGAGTTCATTTGTTCTACAGGTTCAAACCCAGAGATGTCAGTTCATATATTAAAATGCTGTTTGTTACTGGGAAAGTCTCCTTCCCAGGACATCTTATCTGAATTACTGCAGTCCCAGTCTAGTGATAACCCTAGCAAAGCAGGAGATGCACGAAGGGTTTCTTGCGGGGTTTGTTTGTTTGTTTGTTTTGAAACTCCTTGTAAACAGTTTTTTTTTTTTTTAACTTTTAAGTTCAGTGGTACAAGTGCAGGTTTGTTGCTAGGTAAATTTGTGTCATGGGGGTTTGTTGTACAGATTATTTCATCATCCCAGTATTAAACCTAGTATCCATTAGTTGTTTTTCCTGATCCTTTCCTTCCTCCTTCCCTCTGCCTCCAAAAGGCCCCAGTGTGTATTGTTCCACTCTATGTGACCATGTGTTCTCATCATTTAGCTCCCACTTATAGGTGAAAACATGTAATATTTGGTTTTCTGTTCCTGTGTTAGTTTGCTAAGGATAATGGCCTCCAGCTCCATCCATATCCCTGCAAAGGACATGATCTCATTCTTTTTTATGGCTGTATACTATTCCACAGTGTATATGTAGTATATATTCTCAAATATGTAAGTGTACACCTCCTTTCCTTTGGGCCCTACTGTCTCTATTTTGTCTGGGTCTGACAAAAGAGATTTCATCTTGGTATATGAAACATTCACTGCACAATATGCAAACTTTTTGCCTGTCTGATGTTGACACTATATCATCCAAGACTATTCTTATGTCAATGTCCTTAAGACAGTTCAGGAAAAAAAGGATGTAGTACAGAAACATATGGAAAATTGTCTCACAGGATCCCACCTCATTTTATGCAATGCAGGTTCTAGGTTCCTTATTAGAAAGTGTATCTCCTTCTTCTCTTCTGACTGTATGTCATTCACCTAGACCATGAAGGGTTTATATTTGACCATTCCTCAAGTCAGAAATTGATCCTGACATAGGCATAACATTAAAAAGGCCACTAATTCTCTCAACATACTACAGCCACATTGACCACCACAGCAATGTATGGCTGGACAGACCATAGGTTCCATAAGGCAATGGGAGGCCGAGGGTGAGACTATTAGATAAGAAATTCAGTTTTCAAAGTATCTATTCAATCAGATTATCAAATACACTAGGAAGTATGTTTAATAAAACCAACATAATCATTCTCATGATATTTAATACTTACTTCACTTTGACTCAGTATAAAGGTACCATGTAGATTTATTTCTTTTCCATTTCTTTTTATAATCTTGCATCAACTAAAAACCAATTATGAAATTATGGTTTTTGTCCCCTACACAGTAATCTTTTCTCTTTAAGCTACTTAATTCACTGTTCTTCCAATTTTACGATTTAAATGGTGGGAAAGAGTGTGAGATGAAATTTTATTTTTCAAAGGTGTATTCTTTAATCTCTTTTCACCCTTCCTAACCTTTGCTCTTTCCTTTTCCCCTCTCTAAATGTCTGTAACAACCTCTTTACTCTTAACCTGGAGCTCAGGCTGAGATATCCCGCCAAGAATATGCAAGCTCAGTGGAATGCCACTCCTCTTCCCACTCTAGACAGTGAATCTCCGACTTCGTCATTCATAGTGAGTTCTTAATCTTGCCTCAATGTGTCTGCTCGGAAACTCACCTATACTCAGCATGTGGCCACCCCAATCCTTAGGAAAATTCAAAAGAACATGAATATTCTACCTCTAGAATCAATTTTATGACCTGGAACAACATTTCTTGAAATGGTAGTTCAGGGAAAAAAGCATTAGCCTCACCTGGAAGTTGGGATCACCGTCACAGTTTCTGATTTAGTAGGTCTGAGACTTTTCATTCATACTGTGATCAACATTCTGTGCTTTCAAAAGTCTCAAGATGATTCTGGGAACCAAAATTTGAGAACCCTTGCCCTACAACAATTGCTTTAGTCTAGAAAAGAAAGCACCTCTGAATTAAAACTCACGGTTCATATATGAGAGATTTGTTTATGCAATCACTTATTTTTACACATATATATCATATGCAGAATCACTGCAAAATATTATGCTATTTATGAGATTGTGGAGGATAGCTATAATCACGATCTTGGCTAAATAAGGATTTAACCATGTAATGAGAGAGACAAATGAAGACAAGTGATACACAAAAGTAAATGAAAGGGAAGAAAGGAAGGAATTTTGCCGTGTGTGATGAATATAGATACAGTTACTCTAGAGGTTTCAAAATAGAGTATTACAACTCTGATGAATGTCAGCTTTGGTTTTCATTTCAGCAGGCAGCATCCTAGGGGAAGGACAGCAGTGAAAACTCCTGGGTTGTGATGTTCCATCCTAGCAGTATGTTGATAATACAGAGTCCCACAGGAGTTGCCAAGAGAACAGACCAGAAGAAGGAGGGGCTCTTTACTCCTTTCTAATAATCTCCAATTGATGATGGTAGCTTGCTTTGCATACAAATGTCTGCCCTTTCCCCAGTCCCTCTTGTAACAGTGCCTCCCCTGTGTAATCCTTAGTGTGACATCACAGAAGAAAAAGAAGAGGGAATTAAGACAAGGAGAGGAAACAGAAGAAGGAAAAGAAGTTATATAAAGTCAGATTCTAAAACTAAAGGAAACCAGAAATGTCTTCTTCTTTATTGACAGGGTTAGCTTTAGAAATGTGCATCTTGCGTAGTTGCATAGGGCCTCGTGCTCCCAAAGGCCCCTTCTTGGTTTAATGCACTGAGATTGCATCCCAGAATTTCCTAAGATTTTTAACAAAGGGCTCCACGTTTTCATTTTGCATTGGGGCACACCATTTTGTAGCCTATCTGCTTATTCACTGGCTGATAATGCCAATGCAGTAGGATGGCTCCATGGACTAAAAAGGTCCTTCACAGGTGAATGTTTGCACAGTAATCAATGTTGACATTTAACAGACAAACAACATTGATAAATCCATTTGTCATTAGTAAACAAGGACAATAATATGTACTTGACTCCTATTAAGCTGGGCCTGCCTCTGTGTATCATTTGATCTCTAGTGTCAAGGCAGTGGCCTAAGGTTTCTATGAAATCAGCAGGTAAAATTGTGTTCTTTTATGTATTCAGCTATTTATTCTCCAGCTATTTATTGAATAGCTACACTTTGCCAGATATTCTGCTTAGCACTGCGGATATAATGGAAATCAGTACCTCATTCAGTTCTCACCCTCACAAAGTTCACACTCTAGCAGGAGAAAAGAATCATTTAATCATATAAATGATTATATAATTGTACATCGTTATATGTGCCCTAAAGGAAGGCACTTGATTCTTTTGCAGCTGATGAAGGTCTTGACCTAAATGGGAACAACATAGAAAGGGAGAGGCTGAAAAGAGGGTCAGAGAAGTTTCCTTGATAAAATGAGGCTTAGGGTAAAACGGGAAACACAGTAGAATGCCATTTGCCCCACTGACTTTTAGAAGAAATCATTTTGTGCATTGCCTGGTAACACTTGAATCCTACCCTCCTAACACCTAATTGGTCAAGAGATTTCACTGGTGCAAATATCTGTAACCACTACATGGTAGATAACCAAATTATCAGACATATCGTGCAAACACATACTCTTCTAGTTGTGGTAAAAGATCTTACTCATCCTGTAATACATTAGAAAAGAGCATAACAGACCCCGATTATTACAATGCACCAAAGGTTTTATCTCCAAAGTCCCTGTGAAAGTACTTTAATCTCTGTCAGCTTTTTGTCCAATTTTTAGCACTAGCAAAATGAAATAAAAACAAAACTATTGAACTATATATGTTTATTCTTTGGTATCAAACTATCTTTCAGGAAAACCATGGGGGAAAAATCTGTGTTTATAAACAGTTCATTTACACAAGGAATTATGCCATTGTTTCTTTAATTTTTATTCTTTTTTAATACCATGGTCTCTGCGTAAAAATACTCTTTGGCTGAAAAGTCACCAAGATTAATCAAGTATTTAATTTTTTTTAAACATAATTTGATCTAGCTCACAGTTAAACTGAGACACAAAATAAATATTCTGATTTAGAAGCATTTTATTTTTAGATAAAAATTTATCTTAAATTTTATTACTTAATTGATGCAGTAACTATTCAACTAGATACAAGATTTCAAGCTAAGTATAGTTGCTTAACATTTTTCATTTCTTATCCTGACTCAATTAAAACAAATGAATTAGAAGTCTTTACAAAAAATACACAATCAAAAGCAAAATTTGGGTGATTTGTCAAAATAATTAGCAATTCAAATACTGCCTTGTATAAAATGCTATATTAAAATTAAGAGCAAAATAAATCAAATCATAAGGATCACTTGTGAAAGTCCTGAGCTGGTTTCTGTAAAAATACTGTTCCAAAGGTAGCATTTTTTAAAGTGTGCATTTTATCAATTTTATTTTTTTAGTTGTCATCATTGTAGTATAGCAAAATTTTCTTTCTCCAAACTAAAAAGAAAATGACCAATATTTAAGAAAAGCAAGAGAACAGCATCATTTAACAAAATGAGTAAGTGATAAACATAGAATTCCAAACAGAGAGATAAATTTAAGATGCAAAACTATCAGTGACTTTTAATGTTAATGCTCATAACCATAAAACGTATAAATATGTTTGTACAGACATGATATTCAGAGCATTATAGCTATTAAAGTATGTTAAATATTATTACTATTATTACATTTTTATTTCTCAAAAAAATTCCCTTCTGAATCTCCACCCTGAGCTGAACTTTCCTGCTCACATCTCCTTTCCTAGGCCTTTTAGACATATTTGCTATTTTTGAATAAGTTCATGATTATGCTGATATTAATCCATTCGGCTCCCTACATCTTACACTAGGGGTGAGAGGAAAGATTAGCAAATAGAGATGATCTGAATTCCAGAGGTAAGGTGCAGCGCCCTAGAAAATAGTGGGAAAGAACTGAGTTTGAATTGGAGGCACAGGATAGAGAGCTCTCTGAACTTGGGCTCATCACTGGAAACTTCTAGTCCTGGCTTGGCACAGGCGGTTGTCACCATAATCAGGGGCTACTTTTTTTTCATAAAACTAGCATGGAGAATAAGGTAGACTATACTAAAACAGGAGATTATGATCCTCTAACCCCCCCATTTGATCCTAAAGCCCCACATATATATTCTTAAGTGCCTCCATGTTTGTCTCAAGAATCTATATAATCTTTTAATTAACGTTCATTTTTTTCTAAATTTTCTTTAACAAGAAAATTATACACGAATAATTGACAAATAAAGCCATTGACAAAATAAAGAAATTAATATGCAGCCAAACACAGATCAGAAAGCGAGAATGTTTATTGTTTCAGTAGTGTTGATACAGCAAGATGAATAATAGGTAATATGTGGATGTATTTAAATTCCGTACGATATATTGTCACACATAAATGGCTATGTAGTGTCATGAAGGGAAGTGAATGGCAGGTAATTATTACTAGAGCTTTGAAAATCTCTATCATGATGATTACACTTTATCCTTTGTGTTCACCTTGATGCTTACAGTCTACAGTGCAGGCAAGATTGCTTGTGCCTTTTTGAAGCTGATCAGTAGAAAAAAACACTTAGATGTTTATGTGCAATCCCTCAAAAATATAATGTTGAACCAAAAGTTAAGTAACAATCAGGTTAAATTTAAGACAATACAGAGGGAATGAATTCAGATAATTACTTGAATGAGTGTTAACACTTTTCAATTAGAAGGCATTGATGTACAATACTCTTAGTAGGAAATGTTTGCATTTCATTTGTTTAACTCAGCCCCTCTTCCCCATACATACTTTGAAATATTTGTCAAGAGCTTAATCTAGTGTAAAGCTATTTTGCTATTGTGTTTTCTTATATTTTTTTTTAGCGATGAGGGTCTCGCTATATTGCCCAGGCTGATATTGAACCCCTGGCCCCAACCAGTCCTACCACCTCAGCCTTCCAAAGTGATGAGATTACAGGTGTGAGCCACTATGCCTGGCCAGTTTTCTTTTTATATAAAAAAATGTAAATTTCTTCTGGCTCTAAACTTTCAGTATAATATTTATTTTTTTTTTTCTTTACTTAACCTATCCGTCCTTGTGTGAATATGGAAGATGTGGTTTGCAGACAGACTGCTATACTAAGAAACATATGACATAAAATATTTTACCACACCTGTTTTACTTCTGTTCTTATATTTAAACAAAATCACAAATATTTTGAGTACTATTTACTGTTTACAATATTGAATCTACTATCCCTGGTCACAAATATGTTTTAGTTATTAAATACACCTGACATTTCTTCACTGTGCAAATATTTCTTTAATACCTCCTAGATCTCAAGCACCATTATAGGTCTTGGGTATGCATCAGTAAACACAACATACAAAGACTCTGTTCTTGAGAAAATTGCCTTTGACTGAGGAGAGACAGACAGCAACCAAAGAAGCATATAATAAAACAGATGGTGATATCAGCTATACGTAAAAATGAAGCAGGGGAAGGTAGGCAGAATAGTGGCCCCCAAAGATATCCACATCCTAATCTCTGTAACCTGTGAATATAGTGACATACATAGCGAAAGTGATGTTGCAGATTTAAGTTAAAAATCTTGGCTGGGTGCTCTGGCTAACGCCTGTAATCTCAGCACTTTGGGAGGCAGAGGTGGGCAGATCACGAGGTCAGGAGTTCGAGACCAGCCTGGCCAATATGGTGAAACCCCGTCTCTACTAAAAAATACAGAAATTGGTCTGGTGTGGTGGCACGTGACTGTAGTCCCAGCTACTCGGGAGGCTGAGGCAGAAGAATGGCTTGAACCCAGGAGGCAGAGGTTGCAGTGAGCCGAGATTGTGCCACTGCTCTCCAGCCTGGGCAACACAGCGGGACTCCATCTCAAAAAAAAAAAAAAAAAAAAAAGAGAAAAACCAACCAACCAAACAAAAAAAAACCTTGAGATCCAGTGAGTTTTTGTTGTTGTTGTTGTTGTTAGTTTTTTGCTTTGCATGATTCTGAAGGGCCCAATATAATCGCAGAAGTCTTTAAAGCAAAGAACGTTTCTCAGCTCAGAAAATAAAGACAGAAGAGAACCAGAGTGACAATAGCATAAGAAGGACTTTCAGCGCATTGCAGCTGGCTTTTCATATGGAGGAGTCAAGAACTGTGGCCAGTCTCTAAAAGCTGCAAAATACAAGAGAACACATTCTGAGAGTCCCCAGACAGGAATGCGGTCTTTGCTGATACTTGATTTTAGCCCAGTGAACCACACCCCCACTCCATGTAGGACTTCTGGCCTACAGAGCAGCAGATAATAAATTTGTGTTATCGAGGCCACCAAATTTGAGGTATTTTGTTACCTTAGCAATAGGAAACTAATACAGGAGATCAGTAGAGAATGGTAGGTATATGCCACTTTGTGTCACATGGTCAGGGAAGGAGTCCTTGGTGAGGTGATGCTTGAGCAGAACTGAATGAAGTGACGAAGTCAGCCACCTGCATACACATGCGAAGAGCCTTATGGGCAGAGGAAGCAGCAGATGAAAATGTCCTCAGACAGAAATATGCTCAGTTGTTTGGGAAATAGCAAGGAGAACATAATGACTGAAAATCAGTAAATCAGTGACAGAGAATTAGGCAATGAGATGAGTGCCAGCATCAAGAAGCCAGACATTCTGGGGCCTGATATGTCCTGGCAGTTTATTCTGATTGAGATGGGAAGCTCTTGGAGGTCTGGGGGAGAGGAAACACACCATTTGAAAAGGATCATTTTGGTTACCCAGTGGAGATCAGACTATAGGAAAGGCAGGAGTAGGAGTGAGCAATCTGAAGATCAAATAAGAGGTTTGTCCAAATAGAAGATGGCATCTTGGATGAGTTGATGAAAAATAGATAGATATATTTTGGAGCTAGATGTAATAAGATTTGCTAATGGATTAGACATTAGTGTTAGAGGAAAAAAGGGGAGAATAATTGCAACTGCAAAATAGAGTTGCCCTACTGAGATCACAACAAAGGATGGAATTAATTTGGGGACAATCAAAATATTTGCAAAGGTTTCTTTTAGGACTTTAAAACATTTCATATTTTTCCATACTGCACATATGTTGAATTTATCTGTCTTTTACCCTACCTCCAACAGTGCACATGACTATTGCATTAATTCACATACTCCACAATGCTACCTTAGAAGAGGCCATCATTATTTTCATGCTTAAATAGCCACGGCTGTGCTGTTCACTCAGAAAATTGTATCTTCAGAGTTTTCTGCCTGTCTTCCTAACCACTTTGCAAACTAAAGATTTTTCACTTGAGTACTTTCTAGTCAACGTTTTTTTTTTTGGCTAAAACATAATTTGAAAATCTAAATAAGAATGATATTTGAAGGTATATGCAAATTCATTGAGATGAGAAACTTCTGCGCTTGGATTCTTCTTAGCAATGGTAGTTGGTTCCTAGGTAATGTTATGTGGGGATGAGCAATTTTGGCTTGTTAGATGGTAGGTTTTGAACATTAAGCATGACTACTATAATTTGCATTATTTAAAAATGTCAACTTTATATATTAGATATACACCATACTAGGATTGAGGCTTAAGTTTGCACATTTAACATTAAATTAAAAAGTAAGTTAGAATAAAATCAAAGATAATTTAAATCTAAACAAAATATTTACAGCAATTGCCACTTTGTTGAAAAGTAAATCTAATAATAAACTATCTCTCAACTATACAAAGTAGCCATACATAAATATAAAATTTTAAATTGTATATAAAATAATTAGCTTAATATAACTGAAATGTTCATGTCTCATATTTTATTACAGCAAAGTAGTATTTTTAACATTTACTGATAAACTCCCATTAAATCACCTACTGTAAAAATAATTTTAATATAATTATTTAGATTATATATTTTATAGATTATTACCAAATACCAGAAGTATTATCAAGGGTTTATGAATTCTTTATCCTTCTTGTTTTATTACTATTTTTGGTTTATAAATTCGTAAAGGACAAATAATATTATTTGTCTGGGCATTAGCGTTCTACAAGCTAATTTATGTTTTTATATGATTCATTGTGTTAATCTTAACTTTTGATGATATCACGAATCCATACCTAGGTAAATTTTTCTAAGCATGTCGTATGGAGAATGCCATATAGATGAAAAACAAAGACTGTTTTTTAAATGTAAAATAGTTAATAAATGTTAGTACAAGCCAAGTTATGACCTAATTACTGAATTAATAATATAATAACAAGATATACTTACTAATTGTCTAAGCATAAAAATATAATTTATTCCAGAAATATACCTCATTCTATTTCACAAAAATATGGATATTTTACAAAATTTCGATATTTTTTATAATAATAGTATTAAATTATAATCTTGTTCATGTATTGAAATTATCTAAAAATCTGATGCAGAATAGCTCCTTTTAATGTCATTTAAAAAATTAATGTGTGATATGGTCAGTAGCCAAGCAGAGGAGACTGTAGCATTACTTGTGTTAAGATCATCATTTATCAACAAAATTTTTTCTTTTCCTAGTACATAAAATTTAGAGATGTCAAGATAAAAATGTGCAGTTTTGCTTTCCAAATATTTAGTTAACATAATAATTTAATTATGTATAAGTCTTATTTTTCCTCAACAAAAGAAATCAGAGAATTACTAATTTTAATTTATTCCATACATTTGTTACAAGGCATTTAGTTATAGGTGAAATCATGTGTTTTGTAACTTAGTATTTGTCCATCACTTTAACTTAACAAAATTTTTCTGATGTATTATAATAAGCATTTGAGAAAAGACTACTTCTGATATTCAACAGTGTTCTCTGATTCCTGCTTTATTTTCCTTTCATTTTCAGTCTGTGACTATATTGTGTAACCTTTGCAACATATTGATTGTTAACTAACTCATTAAATCATACCTTAGGTCTGTTTGGAACCCTGAAAATAAAGTTCTTGGCCGGGCGCAGTGGCTCACGCCTGTAATCCCAGCACTTTGGGAGGCCAAGGCAGGCGGATCACGAGGTCAGGAGATCGAGACCATCCTGGCTAACACAGTGAAACCCCGTCTCTATTAAAAATACAAAAAATTAGCTGGGCGTGGTGGCGGGAGCCTGTAGTCTCAGCTACTCGGGAGGCTGAAGCAGAAGAATGGCGTGAACCCGGGAGGCGGAGCTTGCAGTGAGCCGAGATCACGCCACTGCACTCCAGCCTGGGCGACAGAGTGAGACTCCATCTCAAAAAAGAAAAGAAAAGAAAAGAAAAAAGAAAAGAAACTT
This sequence comes from Homo sapiens, assembly GCF_000001405.40. Lineage (NCBI taxonomy): Eukaryota > Metazoa > Chordata > Mammalia > Primates > Hominidae > Homo > Homo sapiens. The sequence continues at coordinate 24,673,103 of NC_000005.10, forward strand.
CTCCAAAATCATTGTTTGAGAGTTGAGTAAACTGAGTCAGAAAAATACTAATCTTTGATCCATACAAAATGGCAATTTAAGCAAAATTGGGATCCTTGTCAAACAACTGCATAGGTAGACATTCATTTATTCTTGCTCATGCTGTCACAGGATGAGAAGCACACTTAATCTCATATCTTTTGGAGTCTAAGGCACTTTCTAACTGCAGTTGTGTTGTGTGTTGAAAGTAGAGGATTAAATTTTTGAGAACACCTTTGTGTAGAGTCCTTTGAGTGATGCTCATTGATATCCTTTGGAGATTCTGCAGTTTTTCCTTTCTCTTTTTCTTTTTCTTTCTTTCCTTCTTTTTTTTTTGTGAAAGACTAAAACATACTTTAGTGATCTATTTTTACATTTCCATTTACACTCTCTTATCCCATTCACCAAATTTAAGAAAACAAATATTCCCATTTTCAGAATTACTTTCCAAGGGTAAGGTACAGATCTGTGGGTGATGGATGGAATTAAGAGTGCAGTGGAAATAAACCAGTGACCTTAGCTATTTTGTTTTGATTTACTGTGACCTCACCAATTGAGAAACCAGTTTTTAGTACAATGTAGAATTATTGTGACTTTGCTGGCTGTAACTTATTTGACAAAGGTTAAGGCACATGGGCCAATGTAGCCTAGAAAGAAGCTTTCATCACAATAATTTTTTCCCTGAACTAGAGTTCTAAAGTATTATTCTTTTTTGTCCAGTCCATGTTTCAATTCCCAAAAGATATTTTTATCTCCTTATCTACAAAAAGCACAGTAGAACACAGAATAATAAGTCCATTAGGAGCTAAAATGATGCAGAGTTTTAGTTTAAGGTAATATACATATTTCAAAGAACAAACAAACAACAACAAAAGCAAATGAGGACTTTAGGAGGCCAGTAGCCTTTATTTTTCATCTGTAAACTCGAAACCAGCAGAGGGTTTTTGTTTTCAGTTCCTTTACTTTCATGGCTTCCCTAAAAAACCATTTACGAGCTTTCTCCTCTCTCTCCCCAAATCTAAGTTCTGGAAGGTTCTAACATGTGGTACTGAATGACCTTAGGAGGTAAATGAAGGCCTTTAGGAGATGATTAGCCCAAGCTTTAAAGGCTCGGGATGTTTGCTTTTGTTTGTTTGTTTTTGTTTGTTTGTTTTGCCTATGTTTCCACTTTAAAAATCCACAAGGAGTTGGGAATTAAGGAGACTTACACCAGCGTCATATTCTTTTATCTTTTTTTTTCTACACGGAGTTTCACTCTGTCCCCCAGGTGGAGTGCAGTGGCATGATCTCGGCTCACTGCAGGCTCTGCCTCCCAGGTTCAAGTGATTCTCCTGCTTCAGCCTCTCAAATAGTTGGGATTACAGGCATGAGCCATCACTCCCAGCTAATATTCGTATTTTTAGTAGAGACGGGGGTTTGCCATAATGGCCAGGGTGGTCTCGAACTCCTGACCTCAAGTGATCCACCCGCCTCGGTGTCCCAAGGTGCTGGGATTACAGGCATGAGCCACCACGCGTGGCCCAGTGTCATATTCTTATAGCAGAACTATATTCAAGCATAGAGCTATTACCAGACATTTTGTCTACTCAATGTTATTGTCAGTATAAAAGTACTTTTGTAGTTTTGAAGTGTTCATATTACTAAAAATCTTAAAATAACTTGTTTCCAATAAAATTCCAACACGGGCAGTTTGAATAATGCTCCATATGCATGCCTTCAGGAAGAACTTCTTCTAAGATCATTTCTTCCAAATATTGTTTCAATTATAGAACATTACATGACAAAATTCAGCTATAAATTGAACACCATCTGACAATATCTTTTATTTTTTCCTCTCATTTACATTTTCATTACTGGTCAATTATAAATGTAAAACTGCCAAATAATCACTCACTCTGTGAATGACATTTTTAGGAGAATGAAAGAGAATATATAAAATAACACAGTATGTATGAAATTTAATGCAATATAGAGCTGTGTTTCGCTGCTTTAAAAATACCAGCTTTGTTATCTGTGGCCGTATCAACAAAACTACTTAAATTTCTTTTTAAATGAAGTCAACTTGTTTTTAAAATGCTAAATAGTATTTTTGATGGTTTTTGGAAAAAAAAATCCATTGATTTTTTTTAGTCCTGAGTTAAGCGAATTTTGATTTAATATAGACACTGGATCTAGTCAGAGAAAACAGCATGGTTCCATTTAGAAAGGGATACTGCAAATGAAATATTTATACGTATCTTTGGTGCTTAATTGATAGTAATTAAACTGAGATATATTTATTTCAGAGGAAATATATTAATCTCAAGATATTTGCTGAGTTAAAATGGCAAAGTCCTGTATGTTTTTCACTTTTTCCCCCTCATCTTGGTGACAATGCAAGTGATATAATGGTGGTTACTGGAATTTATCTTGCTGATGGGAAAACAGATACAATATTTTGTCATATTTCATTAGAGAATGTGTGCAGTAGTTCTCGTATTAGCATTATTGTGTTGTCGTGCAGTGGCTGTGTGACATGGTGCAAATGACTTAAACTCTTTCCACCTCCATTTTCTCATGTGTAAAATGGAGGGAAAAATAATCCTGTTTCTTTTAGCATTACTTTCAGTAGATACTATTAACATTTAAATATTCCAATAAACTAAAAATGCATTTGAAATTTTTTTAAATTTTCTTGGAATGAACCAGGTAATCTTCCTAAATAATGCAAAACATTGTTGCTTTCATCATGTGCTTGCTAATCTGGCCCAGATTTTCTGAAAATCAATGGGTTCCATAGAATGTGGTAACACCTTTCTTTTATTTTGGCTTACTTAAAAATATCATTTTTGGCCAGGTTTGATGGCTCATGTCTGTAATTCTAGCACTTTGGGAGGCCAAGGCGGGCAGATCACTTGAGGCCAAAAGTTCAAGGCAAGCCTGGCAAACATGCTGAGACCCTGTTATTACTAAACGTACAAAAATTAGCCAGGCATGGTGGTGCACACCTGTAGCCCCAGCTACTCAGGAGGCTGAGGCATGATATTCCCTTGAACCGGGAGGTGGAGGTTATAGTAAACCAAGATTATGCCACTGCACTGCAGCCTGAGTGACACAGCAAGACTGTCTCAAACAACAAAAAAATCATTTTTATTTCAAAAAGTCTTGAAAACAAAAACTAGCGTATTATCTTTGAAAATACACAGATTTTTTTATTTCTGATTTTTAAAATGACTATAAATATTAGCTACCAGTAAACCAAACATAGCTTCAATCTATTGAAAATGAGTTATTATTAGTTTTAGAATAATTTTAAATTAGTTTCATATTCTGAAGGACATGTAGATCTATTTGAAATGTTATATATTCCCTTTCAATAAATTCGATTATTTAATCAAAAGATAGCCATAAAACTTTTTCTTAGAGTTCTCATAAGGAAAAGCCTTGAAATATATAAAATGAAATTATTTGTATTAATAAATACTATATACATATGTATTTCCTTGAAAACTAATTTGTGTGTATACTTATTTATGTATTAATTTATGATTACATATTTATATGAGCACATGTAATTTTAAAAAATAGTTTGTAGTTATTTTGCTTCCAAGGAAGGAGCTAATTTGGTTGGATGATTATCATTATAAGATAACTATAAGAGAAGCTTCCCATATAGTGGTTCCACTGGGACGCAAGACTAAAAAAGATGAGCATTAGCTAAATAGTTCTGCATAAAGAAAATAAAGTGGAGGTAGAGGCCCATTTAAACCTCTCTGGAGGAAGTCTCCCTAGACTGAGCTGGTCTGAAGTAGATGTCAAATGGGATTTTGGATGAGGAATGCTGTCATGTAGTAAGAGAACTCTATCCTCAGTATATTTAACAACACATTAAATCAACATTGGTCAGTGATATAGTTTGTATGGTCACCCTATCCAAATCTCATGTTAAAATGCGATCCTTAGTGTTGAAGATGGGGCCAGGTAGAAGGTGTTTTGGTCATGGGGGTGGATCCCTCATGAATGGCTTTGTGCCTTTCCCACAGTAATAAGTGAATTCTCACTCCACTCATTCAAATGAGGGCTGGTTGTTTAAAAGAGCCTGGAACTTCCTCCTCTCTTTCTTGCTCCCTTTCTCAGCATGTGATATGCCTGCTCCACCTTCACCTTACACCATGATTGTAAGCTCCCTCAGGCCTCACCAGAAGCGGATGCTAGCATCACACTTGTACAGTCTGCAGACTGTGAGCCAAAATAAACCTCTTTTCTTTATAAACTATCCAGTTTCAGACATTTCTTTATAGCAATGCAAAATGGACTAATAGTCAGTAATGTCATGTAGAATGGGATTTGTATTTAGAATACACTAAGATGTATGCTACAGTGTTGTTTTAAGACAGAAATAAAAGTTTTTGAGAGTAAAGACAATCATACGTGACTGTCAACATGTGAGTGTATGTGTGAGCATTTGTGTGTGTGTTTGAGGGTCTGTGTGTTTCCCATGTAGTTCAAAATCAGAGAGTACATTTATAAGAACTGAAATAACTTATGAAACCTAGTTTTTTACACATATGGTAAGCATTCCATATCTGTGGGTTCTGTGTCATTGATTCACTAACTCTGGATTAAAATCATTCAGAAAAATATCAACATAGTTTCAAAAAGCAAGACTTCAATTTACTGCATGCAGAGTACTACATTGAATTCACATGAATAAAATGATGTAGGCATGTCATAGGAATACTAAGTAATATAGAGATTATTTAAAATATAGAGGAGAATGTGTGTAGGTTATATTCAAATACTATATTATTTTATTTAAGAGACTTGAGTATCCCCCAATTTTGGTATATATGGGAGTTCTGAAAAAAATCTGCCACAGATACTAGGAGACAACTGTATGTATCAAAATTCATAATTCACAGAAATGTTTATTAAATTACTTTTTATCTCCTTTTTATGAACTGCCTGCATTTTCTGTAGTTTCTCTCATATGCACTCATTGCCCTCTGAACCTACATCTACCCAAAAATATCTCCCAAATCCTTTAGCTGAGAGTACTAATAATGTATTCTTTTCTTTTTTCTTATTCATTATGTAAACTTTATATGTTTGTCTTTTCATCTTAACTTGGGCCATTCCAAGTCCAAAAAAATTATCTTTGTATCATCTACACTAGTGATTGGCAGTTTTAGGCACGCATATACCCTGAGAAACAATCAAATAACAGTCTTGATTTTCCTTTGATCACTTCAGCAGCAAAGGAGTATCTTTAACTCTAACGGAGCAGAAAAATAAGATATTCTTCAACACCACACATCGTGGCCATTTCGGCATTCAGCTTTTTGCCTGTTCATGCTTCGCAACCTGCTCATTTTTTGAGTTATTTTTTTCTATGAAAGGCCCATTAAGTGTTAGGAAGAATAAGGCAATGGATAAAAGATTGGATCCTGCAGTCAAAATTCCAGACTCCAAATATTGGCTTTGCCATCAACCAGTTGCGGCAGTCTCTCGGCAACTCATTTTTCTTCTCTGCAAGATGGGATAAAAATAGTTCCTACTTCGTAGCTAGGTTTTGATAATTAAATGACATAATTTCTACACAGGAACAAGGTAGTTAATTGATAAAAAAGGAAACTATGTAACTTCATTTTCACTATATACACAAAACATGAAAATTACCTGTATTACAGAACCAAGGATTAAAAACTCAGCAGATGTGTAATGAGTTTTAAATAATTACAATATTTAAATTATAAATTATTTAAATCCCTTATTTTCTTCTATTGTTAATAACAGCAACATTTATTTTTTTTTTATTTTTCAAATGTAAATTTAGGTATATATAGCCCATAGAATAATAGCAAAAGGGAAAATGACATTTTAATATATGATTTCCCACCTATACCATAGTATCATGGGGCATGCCTCAATAACTTAACAGGTGGGGATAATATTTATCGTCATCCTTCTCTTCCTCCTTAGAAAAACAGAGGAACTATGAGTTTAGAGGAAGTAAAAAAATGAAATCAAAATCTAAAAAGGCAAATAAACCCAGCCAATTTTTTCATATTCAGATACAAAATACACTTTTTCTGCTTGGGATTAAAAAGAAAATACAAAAAAAAGTTTCTACATTTAACAACTTCAAATTAAAGCTTGTCCTAATTCTACCAATTATTCCAAACATATATTTTAGCAATTAAAAGTGCATTGATCAAAACCTAGTGTTTCTCCTTGCATTTTTTATTTAGTTATATTCTGAATTTACGTAAACCTCTGTTTTTGGTTAGAATTCATATAGTTAAATATGCACTAATTCAAAAAATGTAATTTCATTGTCCTATTACAATAATAACAAACATGTCCATTAAAAAAATCTGTTTTTTTCTTTCCATAATCATCAAGATATGGCCTACAAATTTTTCCAGATTTGTTTTCACCTAAAAAAGATCAGAAGATGGCTTCTGAGAAGAGAGAGGTATGGTAAAATACAGGAGGATATGATGACAACTTAACTTAATCAAATGAATATTTTCAACTTCTTATCTAAATCATAAGCTGAATTTAATATGGTGTTTGTACAAATTATTTCACAGTTTTCAGACGCTGGAAAGTCAGTGTCTAGGGCGAGAATGTGTAGTATATAAGGGTATTTATTATGGTAAGCTAAATAAAGCACCATCCCATTTATCTTTGATCATAATCTAATTATTGTAATTGTTTCAAGGATCCACAGTTTAAAAGGTTTGTATAATAATTATTTTTTGGAAAAAAAGATTTGGTTTTAATTTTTCCCCAAGGGAAAATTTCTATATTTTCCAGTGCTAACTCTTCTGTTTAGTAGAAGACAGGCATTTTATCCAGATAGTTGAGGCAAAGCACAAAACTGATAAAGCTTGTTATCATTTCAAATTAAATTTGAAGTTTTGGAAATTCGATTTCTCACCAGCCTACTCATTTCACATTGAATTTTTTAGCCACAGTGGTGTACTCAATTTGATACCTTTTGCATGTCTTAAAATGTCTATGCAACCTTCATTATGGATATCAGTGATGTACAGGTTAAACATCCTTAATTTGAAAATGTGAGCCAGGCATGTTGGCTCACACCTGTAATCCCAGCACTTTGGGAGGCGGAGGTGGGCAGATCACCCGAGGGTCAAGAGTTTGAGACCAGCCTGTCCAACATGGAGAAACCCTATCTCTACTAAAAATACAAAATTAGCCGGGCATGGTGGAGCATGCCTGTAATCCCAGCTACTGGGGGGACTGAGTCAGGAAGCTGCTTGAACCCAGGAGGCAGATGTTGCGGTGAGCTGAGATTGTGCCATTGAACTCCAGTCTGGGCAACAAGAGTGAAACTGTCAAAAAAAAAAAAAAAAAAAAAAAAAGAAAAAAAAAAGAAAAAGAAAAAGAGAAAATCTGAAATCCACAATGCTTCAAAAATCGGAAAGTTTCGAGCACTGATATGGCACCACAAGTGGAAAATTCCACACCTGACAGGTCACAATCAAAACACAAACGTATAACACACAGTTTATTCAGTATCCCCAAGGGAAAATTAAAATTACCTTCAGGCTACATGTATAAGTTGTATATGAAACACAAATAAATTTTGTGTTTAGACTTGGGTCTCATCCTCAAAATAGCTCATTATATATGTGTAAATATCCCAAGCTTTAAAAAAAATTAAAAATTTAAAACATTTTTGGTTCCAAGCATTTTGGATAAAGGATGCACAACCTGTATCATATAGGATTTGTATTCCAGAAATGTTAAATTTTTGTCATTGAAGGTGTGGCAATAAACAGAAACACGCAGATTAAATTCACTTTTAGTACATACCCAGAGTATACAGGGAAAAATATAATAGAATTATAGCTAAATTAGCAAAAATTTTGAAAACAAAATATGTTTGCAACATTAAAATATTATCCCAGAGAAAAAAATAATGACATTGATAGAACAACTTATGAGCTACAGAACATTCTCAGTTACATTTTCCAGAGGGAGAAACTGAGACTAGAAAATTTAAAAAATGAGTCAAAGTCACATAGCCAAGCATTATGTCAGAACTGCAACTTATTTCTATTTGAGTATAGAACTTAAGCTCTTTCATTACCACTATGAACTATTTAAAAAATAAACTTAAACTTTGTACTTATCTTGAAGAAGTTTGCTCTCAAGTTGAGATGGCATGAGTAATATATATGACTCAAAAAGTGAGAAAGCCAAGTCAGTATGAAAAGTAGTGCTAAATCATGTTTTAAATATCAGTGAGTGTTAACAGTCGTTGAAGAATTCTTTCTTTGGAATATAGAAATTGAATTTGATCTTAAAGGAATAAATAATTTGGATAGATTAGTATGCATGCTTGGGCAAATATCACTTGTAGTTATTTGGAACAGTGCAAATTAAAGGGTATATAGTGTCTCCTTAAAATGTAGTTGGAAGAAATTTCATTTCTACTAAAAATGTGTGTGTGTGTGAGTGTGTGTGTATGTGTATGGAGGGGTGCAGATGTTTGTGTATATAAGCATGCATATCGGTAAACATACAAATGTTTGTGAGTATAATTTGTATACAAAATGAAATGAATTTAAAATAAATCTCCAAATTTGGAGACCAACTACCATCAAATTTTATTGTTATTTGTGTCAGCGAAATATTTGTTAACATTTTAAATAAAATGTCAGCAGGAAGATCTGGTTTAATAGTAGCAACATAGCTCAGTATCAGCTGGTATCAGCAAAATCTGCTCATAGAGAGAAATAATAACATCTGGACAAAATGTAAAATTAAATAAATGAAAAAAAACATTATCCTCAACTATTTGAAGAAAAACCATTAGAAAGTCACTCGAATAAAAGCACTGGAAGGAAAACCAAAACATAAAATTTTGTGTAAATGCAACCCTTGAAAAAAAGGGAAGCACACTAAGAGAAATACATTCTTATAATGTTTTAACCTGATTGAAATGCCATGTCAATGAGGCCTAAGTTGGCTAGCAGTCAAGCAGAAAGATCCCACCCTATTAATTCAGGGTGTTAAATGACAGAGTTCTGGGCTGCCAGAGTCACTGGAAATTGAAGAAGGAAATCCTGAAAAGAAGGTAGCCACCCACAGGAGACAATTCTAAAACTTGCATACAAGTCGCTTTAAATCCTTCAGTGAACTCTGACCTGCACTTAAACACTATTTATTCATGGTTACGCTAAAAGCCCAGACTTCACCACTACAAAATATATTTATGTAACAAAATGGCACTTGTACCCCCCAAACCCATAAAAATAAAATAAAACTTTTAAAAAAGGAGACAAAATATCCCATCAGAAAGTAATCATTGGAAGGCTAAAAGAGCTGAGCTGTGGGACAAAAAGCGTATGAAGCTTGACATGGTTTTGCTGGGCATCCACTGAAATCTCATCTTGAATTGTAGTTCCTATAATCCCCATGTGTCATGGGAGGAACCTAGTGGGTGGTAATCATCTAACATGGGAAAGTTTGGCAATTCCTAGAGACTTGTTGAATGGCTTTGACCAAACTGCTGATAATAATATGGACAATGAATTCCAGGCTGAGGTTGTTTAAGTGTTAAGCCTGCAGGTGAACAGAACTCAAGAGTTGAAGTGTGGGAGCCTTTCCCTAGATTTCAGAGGATGTACGAAAAAGCCTGGATGTCCAGGCAGAAGCCTGCTCAGGGGTGGAGCCCTCATGGAGAAACTCTCCTAGGGCAATGCAGAGTGCAAATGTGGGGTTGGAGCCCCCACGCAGAGTCTCCACTGCCAGTTCTTGAAAGCAGCCATGGGAACTGAACCCTACAAAGCCACAGAGGTGGGACTTCTCAAGACCTTGGGAGCCCACCTCTTGCCTCAGTGTGCCATCGATGTGAGAAATGGAGGCAAAGGAGATTAATTTGGAGCTTTAAGATTTGTAATGACTGCCTTGCATGGAGCCTGTAGTCTCTTTCTTTGGACCAATTCCTCCATTTTTCAATGTGAATATATACCCAATGCATGCACCCCCACTTTATCTTGGAAGTAACTAACCTGTTTCTTATTTTACAGGCTCATAGGTGGAAGGGACTTGCCTTGTCTCAGATGAGACTTTGGACTTTGGACTTTTGAGTTAATGCTGGAATAAGTGAGGACATTGAGGGACTGTTGGGAAGGTATGATTGGATTTTGCAATGTGAGAAAGACATAAGGTTTGGGAGAGGCCAAAAGCAGAATGATATGCTATGCTATGCTATACTATATGATATGATATGATGGTATGATACAATATGATATGATATGAGATTATATAGATCTGTGTTCTTACCCAAATTTCATGTTGAATTGCAATCTCTAATATTCTAGGTGAGTCCTGGTGTGAAGTGATTGGATCATGAGGGCAAGTTTCCCACTTGGTACTGCAGAACTGTGAGACAAATAAAACTCCTTTCTTTGTAAATTACCTAATCTCCAGTATTTCTTTATAGAACTGAGAGAATAAACTAATACATAAAGTAACAAATATGTAATCAAAAGTCAAAAGAAAAAGCAGTTAATATTAATTGAAATTTAGATGACATGAATGTTAGAATTAACAGACAAGAACTTTAAATATGTGGTAAGCAATATCCTAAAATAGCCCATCAAGATTCACTGTCCTAATTCTGGGGATTATAATATGAAGAGATATCACACCAATGATTATGGCATATAACATTGCAAAAGAAATTTAGCACATATAATTAAGGTCTATAGTTGTGGAGGTTAATTTTATGTATCAAATTGGAAGGTGTATCTGGATGATGGTAACATTTAAGTTAATTAAATTTGAGTAAGTAGATTGCCCACCATAATGTGAGTGGGCCTGATTGAGCCAACAGTAGGCCTGAATAAAACAAAAAACAGGCCTCCCCAAGCAAGGAGAAATTCTCCAGCATACTGTCTTCAGACTTTATCTGTACCATCAGCTTTCCTGTGTCCCCACCCCATTGGCCTTCAGACTGTAAATGCACCATAGGTTCTCCTAGGTCTCCAGTCTGTCTGGCCTTCAGATTGGCAATGCCTCATCAGCTCTACTGGGTCTGAAGCCTGCTGGCCCATATTGCAGATTTGGACTCACCAGCCTCCATAATCATGTGAGCCAATTCCTTATAACATATCTCTTCATATGCTTGTATATCCTATTGATTCTCATTTTTGTGATAACCTTGGTTAATATACTAATCAATTGATTTTGCTTTAAACAAATGAGAGTTTAGCCAAGTGGACCTAATCTAAGCAAATTAGCCCTTTAGAAGTAGATAGTCTTCCTGGATGGTAGCAGAGTGATTTGAAGCACAAGAAAGATTTTACATACCAGTTCTGGTTTTCAAGATAGAGGGGCTACATGTAAAAGGCTAGAAAGGAATATCCATGATCTCAGAAGGATGTCTAGAAGTTGAAAATACCACAGTCTAAGAGACAGGAAAACAATGGGTACATCTGTCCTACAACTGGAAATAAATTAATTCTGCTAAAACCAAAAATGAACTTAGAAGGAATTTATTTCCCATGGCACATGGACAAGAGTCCGTGCACTGGCACCTTAATTTTAGCAGGAGTAAGTTCATATTTTCAATAATAACATTGAGTGTAAATGAACTAAATGCTTCAATCAAAAGACATAGATTAGCTGTGTGAACAGAAAAAAACAAGGCCCAACCATCTGTGGCCTATAAGAAACACAATTCACCTATAAAGACACACATAGACTAAAAATAAAGAGATGGAAAAATATATTCCATACAAATGGAAACCATAAAATAGCAGGAATAGCTATATTTATATTAGACAAAATAAATTTTAAGACAAAACTGTAAGACACAAAGAAGGTTATTATTAATCAATAATAACAGAATAAATTCATTAAGAGGTTAAATCAATAGTAAATGTATATGCATCTAACACTGGAGCACAAAGATATTTAAAGCAAATATTATTAGAGCTAAAGAGATAGATAGACCCCAATATGGTAAGACCTGGAGACTTCAACATTTAATTTTCAGCATTGGACAGATCATCAGACAGGAAATCAACAAAAGAACATTGGACTTAATCTGCATTATAGACCAAATGGACCTAATGAGTATTTACAGAAAATTTCATTCAATGGCTGCAGGATGTGTATTCTGCAAAATTAGAAATGAAAAAGGAGACATTACAAATGATACCACAGAAATTCAAAGGATCACGAGAGGCTATTCTGAACAACCATATGCCAATAAATTGGAAAATCTAGAGGAAATGGAAAAATTCCTAGACGTGTACAACATACCAAGACTGAATCATAAAGAAATCCAAAACCTGAGCAAAGACAAGAAACTAGTTTGAAGTTGTAATAAGAAGTTTCTCAGTAAAGAAGAGCCCCTAACCTGATGGTTTAACTGCTGAGTTCTACCAAACATTAAAGAAGAAATATTATCAAAGATATTTAAGCTATTCAGAAAAATAGAGGAGGAGGGAATTCTTCCAAATTCATTCAATGAGGCCAACATTACCCTGATGCCAAAACCAGACAAAGACATATCAAAAATAGAAAACAGTGGGCCAATATTTCTGATTAATATTGATGTAAAAATCCTCAATGAAATACCAGAAAATGAAATTGAATAATGCATTAGAAAGATTAGCCACCATGACCAAGTAAGATTTATCTCTGGGGTGCAAGGATGGCTCAATATATGCAAATCAATCAATGTGCTACATTACATTAACAGAATGAAGGACAAAAAGGCCATATGATAATTTCAATTAATGCTGAAAAATCATTTAATAAAATTCAATATTGTTCATGGCTAAAAAAAAAAAAAAAAAACTCAAAAAGCTGGTAATGGAAGAAACATACCACAACATAATAAAAGCCACATACAACAGACCCACAGCTAGTATCATACTGAATGGGGAAAAACTGAAAGCCTTTTCTCCAAGATCTGAAACAAAGCAAGCATGCCTACTTTAACCACTGTTGTTTCACATATTACTGGAAATCCTAGCTAGAGCAACTAGACAATAGAAAGAAATAAATGGCCTCCAAATTGGAAAGGAAGTCAAATTATCTGTGTTTGCAGATCATATGATTTTATCGGTGGAAAACCCTAAAGACTCCACCAGAAACTACTAGAACTAATAAATTTACTAACGTTGAAGGATACAAAATCAACATACCAAAATCAATAACACTTTCATCAAAGGATGCTTGGGTTGTCACTTCACCAGCCAGAACCTCTGTGGGCAATATTGCCCCTGCTCGAGATTTGCTTGGGCGTGCTGGGCTCATTCCGCTTACTCAGTCTGCCAGGCTGCACTCAACTTGCACTACCAGCCTGGATCCCATGCCTGTTAAAGGGGAGCAAGATGCAGAGTGGTGAGGGGTGTCTGAGCAAGCGAGCATGGGGTCTAGTCACTGTGTACATTCAGGCATGCCAGCTGCAGTGGGGTGGGTAATTTCAGGTGCTGGCACAGGCTCCAGCTCCTTGTGAGGCTGTGGTGGATCAGGCATACCACAATCAGCTTCCACAGCTGGCTCTGGGGAATGCATTTCTGACTGGAAGCTTGGAGATGCCAGGAACTGCAGCTCCTCAAAGAAGGTATTACAGCCCTGGCTCAGGGAGCTCCTAGGTCTGGGCTCCCCAAAGTGCTGCAGCTTTTCTGTCCTCCTTTCTTCTATCCCTCTCATTGCCCACAAACTGGTGAGTAAGGGGCGTGTTTCAACCCTGTTCGTGTTACAGCTCTTTCAGCCCCACCCTCAGTGGGTCCCAAGTTCTTGATCTGTGTCCAGGAAAAAATGAGGTATGCAGATAAGTGGAGGGTGAGCCATACAAAGAGGTGTTTTATTGAACTTCAGAACAGCTCAGAGGAGAACCACAGTGGGTAGCTCTTCTCTGCAGGCAGGTCATCCTGACAAGTGTCTAGCTCTCAGCAGAGAGGAGGCTCACAGTGGGTAACTCCTCTCCACAGGGAGGGCATCCCAATAAGTGCTCAGCCTTCAGCAGAGAGGAGACCCACAGTGGGTAGCTGGGTGGTTCCTCTCTGCAGGCCAGTTGTCCCATCATCTGCTCAGCTCTCAGCAGAGAGGAAACCCATAGTGGGTAGCTTGTCTCTGCAGGCAGATCATCCCATCATCTGCCCAAGTCTGGCTGAGTCTGGGGTTTTTATGGGCCTCAGAGGGGAAAAAGTGTGTCCATGGGTGGTGGGCCCTGAAAAAGCACCATAAATTCTTACTCTGGTTCACAGAACTGGCAGCCTGGCCCACAGGCCTCAGGCAGTCTCTGGCCTGAAAGTGGGGTTTCACCTGGGACCTGCCTTTTTTCACCCAGGAGCCTGTCTGCCTTGCCTCCTGTTACCATTAACTTGCTGTCCACGGTGTCCACGGGGTCTAAAGTCCAGAGGGGGCCTAGGAGGCAGAGGGCTGTCATGTCAGTGCTGCCCTGAGCAGATGCACACACGGCCAGGTTGTGACACTGACCTGGGCTTGGCCACAACTTTGCTCCAAAATTAGAGTGGATGCCAGGAGCAGAAAAAGCCCAGGCAGTGGGAGCAGGCACTTCCGAGCTTGTAGGGGTAAGGGGGTTTCCCAGGCTCCAGAGAGTGCAGAGATGCCTGGGTCCATAGCCATGGCTGGGGGCCTACAGCTGCAACAGGGAGGGTGGGGCTCCCACCCCTCCAACTTGGAAGGGGGTGGGGCTTCTGCCTATTGCCCGCCAGCAGACAGCCCTGGCCACTCCTCCCCTGCTGCAGCCAGCATCTTTGCAGCAGCTGCTCCAGATGGACCTCCACTGCCATCACTTTTACATGTCAACAGTGAACAATCTGAAAAAGAAATCAATCAAGTAATCCTATTTTTAATAGCCACAAATAAAATTATGTATCAAGAAATTAATGTAAACAAAGAAGTGAAAGATCCCTACAATAAAAACTATAAAACATTAATGAAGGAGATTGAAGAGGATACATAAAAATGAGAAGATATTCCATGTTTATAAATTGATAGAATAAATATTGTTAAAATGTCCATACTACCTGTATTAGTCTGTTCTTGCAATGCTATAAAGAAATACTTGAAACTGGGTAATTTATAGTTAAAAGAGATTTAATTGGCTCATGGTTACAAAGGCTATACAGGAAGCATGACTGGGGAAGCCTTAGGAAACTTTCAATCATGGCATAAGGGAAAGCAGGTACATCTTAAATTATTAGAGAAGGAGAGAAAAGGGGGAAGTGCTACACAATTTTAAGCAACCAAATCTCATGATAACTCACTATCACAAGAACAACAAGGAGGAAATCTGCCTCCATGATCCAATCACCACCCACTAGGTCCCTCCTACGTTGGAGGTTACAATTTGACATGAGGTTGGGTGGAAACGCAAACCCAAACCATATCACTACCCAAAGTAATTGAAATATTCAATGGAATTCCTTGCAAAACACCAAAGACACTCTTCACAAAAGTAGAAAAAAAGTTTCTAAAATTCATATGGAACCACAAAAGACCCAAAATAGCCAAAGCTATCCTGAGCAAAGATAAAAAAAAAAAAAAAACTGGAGGAATCATATTACCTTTCTTCAAATTATCCTACTGACCTATAGTAACCAAAACAGCATGGTACTGGAATAAAAACAGGTACACAGAACAATAGAACAGGATTGAGAACCCACAAACAAATCTATACCTCTACAGTAAAGTCATTTTTAACAATGGTGCCAAGAACACACATTAGGGAAAAAACAGTTACTTCAATAAGTGGTGCTGGGAAAGCTAAATAGCAACATGCTGAAGAATGAAACTAGACCTCTATCTCTCATCTTATACAAAAATCAAATCAAAATAGATTAAAGACTTAAAACTAAGATCTCAAACTATGAAACTACTACAAGGAAATCTTGGCTTAACTCTCCAGGAAGCAGATTGGGCAAAAATTTATTTAGTAAAACCCCACAAGCACAGGCAACAAAAGCAAGCATACATAAATGGGATCTCAAGTTAAAAAGCTTCTGCACAACCGAGAAAACAATCAACAAAGTGAAGAGACAATGCACAGAATGAGAGAACACATTTGCAAACTACTCATCTGACAAGGAATTAATAACCAGAATATATAAGGAGCTCAAACATCTCTTTAGGAAAATTTCAATGATCTGATCAAAAAGTGGGCAAGGAATCTGAGTAGACATTTCTCAAAAGAAGACATACAGGTTGCAAACTGGCATATGAAGAGGTGCTCAGCATCACCGATCATCAGAGAAATGGAAATCAAAGCTACAGTGAGATATTATCTCACTCCAATTAAAATAGCTTTTATCCAAAAGTCAGGCAATAATAAATGCTGGTGAGGATGTGGAGAAAAGGGAACCCTCATACACTGTTAGTGGGAATGTAAATTAGGATGACCACTAGGAAAACCAGTCTGGTGGTTCCTCAAAAAAACTAAAAATAGAGCTACCATATGATCCAGTAACCCTATTGCTGGGTATGTACCAAGAAGAAAGGAAATCAGTATATTGAGGAGATATCTGCACTGTCATTTTTGTTGCTGTTCTGTTCATTGTAGTCAAGATTTGGAAGCAACCTAAGAGTCCATAAAGAGATGAATGGAAGAAAATGTGGTATTTATACACAATGGAGTACTATTGAGCCATAAAAAAGAATTAGATTCAGTGATTTGCAACAACACGTGTGGAACCGGAGCTCCTTTTGTTAGGTAAAATAAGCCAGGCGTAGAAAGAAAAACGTTGCATGTTTTTACTTACTTGTGGGATCTAAAAGTCAAAACAATTAAACTCAGAGAGATAGATAGCAGAATAATGGTTACCAGAGGCTGGAAGTATAGTGGGGGATTGGGTGGGAGGCGAAGATTTTTAATGGGTACAAAAAAATAGAAAGAATGAATAAGACCTAATATTTGATATCAAAACAGGGTGACTGTAGTCAAGTATAATTTAATTATACATTTTAAAGTAGCTCAAAGGATATAATTGTGTTGTTAGTAACACAAAGGATAAATGCTTTAGGGGATGAATAGCCCATTATTCACGCTGTGATTGTCATGCATTGCATGCCTGTAACAAAATATCTCATATACTCCGTAAATATATATACCTATCATGTATCTGCAAAAATTAAACATAAATAATTAAATAAAAGACAAACGGACATACGGCACAATCATAAAGAAATTAGATGGGCCAGGAGCAGTGGCTCATGCGTGTAATCCTAACCCTTTGGGAGGCTGAGGTAGGAGGATCACTTGAGGTCAGGATTTGGAGGCTGTGATTGCACCACTGCATTCCAGACTGCAGCAGAGTGAGACTTCATCTATATTGAAAAAGTGTGGGTTCAAGAAAACAGGGAAAAAAGCACCAAGAACAGAGTCAATTCTGATTCAGAAAGAATTGCTGAAAGAATAATACATTTCCATGCAGAAAAAATATAAAGCTTGGAGTAAAGAGATGGGCTTTCAGACTTCAACCTGCTACTAACTAACTAACCTTGGAAAAATCAGTTCTTCTCTCTGGACCTTCCTAACACGAAGAACTTGGCCTGGATGATTGTTATAATTTTTATATTTTGTTTATTAGCTATTTTATATAATAAAGTAATAAATAATATACTCTAAAATACCTTTATGTGTATATTTTTTAGGTTGGCCTTACTTCCCTTTAATTATGTAACAGCAGTACTTGAATTGTGAAGTTTTCTTTCCTAAAAAAATATAGATCCTATAGTTTACATTTAGAAATTTAAGGTATAAAGCTATAATGAGTAAGATGCTCTGAGTTTCCCATTCACAAGATTAGTGGTTGTGTATTCCAGGGAAAGAGATGTCAAGGTATATACAATCAGAGAAAGAAGAATTAAAAATGAAGTATAGAACTGAGGGCGGTGAAAGGGCAGAAGGTTTGGAATTACAAACACAATTTGTAGGTTGCAGTGCAATCTTCGTATTAGTAATAGCTTACCCACGTGATACGGTTATGTCCCTCTGGCAAAGAACTCCTTATGGAGGGCAGATGGCATGTTATTTTCTGGGTGTCAGGACCTAAGAATGTCTGTTTTACTCAGTTTATTTTATATAAACATTTCTTCTTCTGTTGAAATATTACACTATATGCTGCAGAAAGCAGAAAGAATGATGACGCAGCATAAAAATTTGAAACAGTAATAAGAAGCCATGGCAGCAGGTGCACTTGGCTAAAGAGTGAAGAAGGCACAGTGTGGCACAGACAGCAGGAGACTAGATGAAATGCACAGACATTTTACAGGGATAAAAAGTTGGTAACAAATAAATTTGAGAAGGGATCACAACAATATGACTGTGGATTGGGTGCTGAGAACAGAAGTAGTATCTACATGGAATAGAAAGCTAAGTGCTCAGAAAGAAAAGAAAAGCAAAAGATAGAAGAGATACAGTTAGCATGTCACTATAATTAAGCAGTCAGAGATATTACCATAACTACCTGTAGAGTAATGAAGAGATCTATGAATTATGATCCACAGGGCAAATCTGGCTGATGGTCTAAATGACTAAAAATCCAAACAGAGTCAGAAAAACAATCAAAATCCAAATAAGAATATGTCACAGGAGCTATACATTGCTGCAAAGTCTTAAATATTTACTATCTGGCCTTTAACTGCAAAAGTCAGTCTCCCACTAGAGTAGTCAGTTAGCAAATATATAATTAATCAACTCATTTCTTTGACTCATTTTCTTTGACTCATTAATGAATACATTTAACACTTTCCTGTTGACAGACATAGCTTGCTGTGTGCTGGAGCAATGCTGATAAAGTAACCACCTAAAACACTGTACTCCTCAGTACAGTGAATCAGGAGTAGAATTCAAGGTCTACTCAGATTCCTTGCCCATTTTTAAATCAGATCATTAGAAATTTCCTGAAGAGATGTTTGAGCTCCTTATATATTCTAGTTATTAATTCCTTGTCAGATGAGTAGTTTGCAAATATTTTCTCTCATTCTGTTGGTTGTCTCTTCACTTTGTTGATTGTTTTCTTGGTTGTGTACTCCTGTTGGTAAAGGAATAGAAAATCAACAAATCTTTAGAAAGTAATTACAATAATGACAAGCTCTGAAAAGAAGCATATATGTTTTCTAACAGGGAGCAATGTGTAAATGGATTTTCCCTAACCTGGGAAAGTATTGACGGCTTTCATGAGGAAGTGGTCAAGCAACTGAGGGCTGCCAGATAAATATGAGCTAGTCAGGGTGAAGAGGAAGGAGGGATAGTCTAGAGAGATGGAATAACACATGTGAAAGCTTTCAGGAATAAAACAGCTTTGATATATTTGAAGAAAGTAATAAGGCCAAAGTGTTTGAAATACAGAGAATGAGGCAGCACCCTGTGGGCTATGAGTGGTTGATAATATTTTTTGTCTACCTAGCTCATGGGTGGATCTAACCTAATCCAGACTTTTAGTCTTTAGCCCAAAGATAAACAGGAGACAAGAGACCCAGGTTAGCAGCCCAGTGGTTGGCTTAGAGAGGTGCACACTTAAATTATGTTGAGACCATCTTATTTCCTTGGGACATTTACCAGAATGATGTATCAGGAAACATACTTTTTCTTCCTCTGGAAATTCAAGCTATAATAGCATGTATGTTTGGAAATGCCAGTTGGCATCTCAAATTCATATTCAGGTGTCACCCTGAGAACAATGCCTATACAAAGAGAGGAAGAGGAAGGGGAAGCGGAAGAAGGAGAAGGAGAAGAAAAAGGAGAAGGATGAGGAGGAAGAGGAGGAGGAGAAGGAGGAAGAAGAGAGAGAGAGAAACTGAATCAAATTCCTGAGGTTATAAATAGGACACTTATTCAGCCATGACAGAAGATTATATAATTGATTATTTACTGGCTTGATGAAACAATAATTTAGTTGTTTATTAAATCTTTTGAGGTGCTTTTTTTTTTTTTTTTTACTGTTAGTTAAAAGAGTCTTTAAGAATTCTGGATTTTATAAACTGAGAGACTGGGTAATTTACCCTATGTTTCCTATAGTGGTTTTCCTAAATTTCTCATTTTGAAGCAAATAGGAAAAAAATAAAAGAAAGCAGAAGTTCATGTGAAAGTTTTTTTTTTTTTTCCAGAATGCTATTGTTTTATCTTTCCTGGATGAAAAAGAAGGAAATATACTTAGGTGTACTTGTTCATTCAATATATATTTATGAAGCACCTATTATGAACCTGATATTTATTTAGATGCTAAGCACATAAAAGGAAATAAAACAAAAAAATTCCCTGATCTCATGGAACACCTGCTTTAGTGAACCTAAGTTTAAATATAGGCACACCTTATTTTATTGTACTTTGTTTTACTGTGTTTCGCAGGTATTGTGATTTAAGTTTGTGGCAACCTTGTGTCGAGTAAATCTATTGGTGCTGTTGGTGTCATTTTCCCAACAGCAGACATTCTTTTCATGTCCCTGTGTTACATTTTAATAATTCTTGCCAAAGAATGACAAACTTGCTAAATGTCCTATGTGCTCTCACTACTCCATCAACTGGCTGTTTTCCATTTTTTCCTCCCTCTCCTTGGGCCTTCCTATCCCCTGAGACATAATATTTAAGTTAAACCAGCTAATAACCCTACAATGGCCCCTAAATGTTGAAGTGAAATGAAAAGTCACACATCTCTCACTTTCACTCAAAACTAGAAATGACTCAGCTTAGTGAAGAAGGCATGTTGAAAGCTGAGATAGCCTGTAAGTTAGGCCTCATGTGCCAACCATTTGGCCAAGTTGTGAATGCAAAACAAATGTTTTTGAAGGAAATTTAAAGTGCTACTCCAGTGAACACACAAATGATAAGAAAGCAAAACAGCCTTATTGCTGATATGGAGAAAGTTTTAGTAGTCTGGGTGGAAGATCAACCAGCCACAACATTTCTTTCAGGAAAAGCCTACTCCAGAGTATGGTCCTAATTCTCAATTTTATGAAGGCTGACAGAAGTAAGAAAGCTGCAGAAGAAAAGTTTGAATCTAGCAGAGGTTGGTTCATGAGGCTTAAGGAAATAAGCTATCTCCATAATATAAAAGTACAAGGTGAAACAGTAAGTGCTTATGTAGTAACCACAGCATGTTATCCAGATCATCTAGTTAAGATAAATTACGAAGGTGGCTACACTACACAACACAACAGATTTTCAGTGTGAATAAGACAGTCTTCTATTGGAAGAAGATACCGTCTAACACTTCCACAGTTAGACAGAAAAAGTAAATGCCTGGCTTCAGAGCTTTAAACAAGGCTGATGCTCTTGTTAGGAGACAACACAATTGGAACTGACTGTATTAGTCAGTCCTTGCATTGCTATAAAGACATAACTGAGACTGGGCAGTTTATAAAGAAAAGAGGTTTAATTGGCTCAAAGTTCTTCAGGCTGTACAGGAAGCATAGTGGCTTCTGGGGAGGCCTCAGGAAAGTTACAATCATGGCTGAAGGCAAAGGGGAAGCAGGTACTCCTTACATGGCTGGCACATAAGAAAAAGATGGGGGGAGGTGCCATACACTTTCAAACAATCAGATTTCCTGAGCACTCTATCACAAGAACAGCACCAAAGGGATGATGCTAACCTTTCATAAATGATACACCCCCATAATTGAATCACCTCCCACTCAAGCCCCACCTCCAACATTTGGGATTATGATTAAATATGAGATTTGGGTGGGGACACAGATCCAAACCATATTTGTGACTTCCAATTGAAGCCAAGGCTATAGTGTTAAGGCCTTTAAAAATTATGCTAAATGTAATTTGAGTGTTATCTATGAATAGGATAGCAATGTCTAGATGATAGCATATTTGTTTACATAGTGGTTTACTAAATACTTTAAGCCCACTGTTGAGACCTACTGCTCAGAATAAAATATTTCTTTTAAAGTGTTACTGCTCATTGACAATATACCTAGTCATCCAAGAGATCCGATGGAAATTTACAAGGAGATTAATTCTGTTTTCCTGCTTGCTAACACAACATCTATTCTGTAGCTCATGGATCAAGGAGTAATTTTAACACTTAAACCTCATTATTTAAGAAATAGTTTTTTAAGGCTATGGTTTCCATAGATAGTAATTCTTCTCTTGGATCTGGGCAAAGTAAACAGAAAACCTTCTGGGAAGGATTCACGATTTTAGATGTCATTAAGAACATTTGTGATTCATGGGAAGAGGTAAAAAAATAAACAGTAATAGGAATTTGAAAGCAGTTGGCTCCACAACTCATAAATGACTTTGAGAAGTTCAAGACTTCAGTGGAAGAAGTTACTGCAGATATGGTACAAATAGCAAGAGAATTATAATTAGATATAAAGCCTTGAGATGTGAATGAATTGTTGCAATCTCATGGTAAAATGTGAACAAATGAGGGGTTGCTTCTTATGGATGAACAAAGAAAGTGGTTACTTGAGATGGAATTTATTCTGGGTAAAGATGCCATGAAAATTGTTCAAATGACAACAAACATTTTGAATATTACATAAACCTAGTTGATGAAGCAGTGGAAATGTTTGTAAAGATTGACCTCCAATTTGAAAAAAGTTTTACTACAGCTGGAATGTTGTCAAACATCACCACATTCCACAGAAAAATCTTTCATTAAAGGAAGCGGAAGCCTATTGCAAACTTCATTGCTGTCTTATCTTAAGAAAGTGCCCCAGCCACCACAAACTTCAGCAGCTACCACCTTGATCAGTCAGCAGCCATCAACATCAGGGCAAGACACTCCACTAGCAAAAAGATTATGACTCACTGAAGGCTCAGATGATTGCTAGCATATTTTAGTGGTAAAAGATTTTGAAATTAAGGTATGTATATTGTTTTTTGGACATAATGATATTATACACTGAATAGACTACAGTATAACATAACTCTATATAACCTTGGAAATAAAAAGAAATATGTCACTTGCTTTTTGCTGTGATCTGGAACCAAATACACAATATCTTGAAGATATGCCTGTATTGAGAATATCTTATTTTAAATGGAAAATAAGTTAATGATAATACAGTATGGTTTTTCATGAATTGGATAGAAAAACATTGTGATTTATCAACATCACTTTCATAATTAAATTTTCATTTCTCTGATTAGGTCTTAGAAAGAAATGAGCCAAAATAAATAGGCTCTGGCTTCTGAAATGACTACCTTTTCAAGACATAAGTACTGGGGTGGTTGTTTTGATTTATTAGAAACTTGAGCTTCTGCAATTTGTATCATGTTATAAGTCCTAAATATGTTACTCTGATTCCTCTTGGACAAAATATAAATGGGGACTGGTCTATCTGAAACGTTGGTTCTGGAGTAGCCAGTGGACAATCTACCATCAGAGATCTCTTCCCAGGAAAAATCCCTGACCTGGTTTGATAATGCAAAAGTAGATAGTTTGTGTTACTTATATCCTTATTCATAAACTTGTTTGTAATGTACAGTTAGTGGTATATGTTAAGGCATAGTCCATACAAGTGCACCAGAGTCCAGATTCAGGCCACTGGAACTAGTATGAAGGTCCAGGAGCAAAAGAAACCTAGATTAAAGCAATTTTTATGAGTTTGACTCAACTGTAGCTTGTGATTTGATCATATGTGGAAAACATGAAGAAAGGGTCATTCTTTGCTTTCTCATCCATTTCACAGGGTAGGTATCAAAGTAAAATTTCTGTGTGTGCTTATATTGAAAGACAAATTTTAACTAGTGAAATATGGATTACAAGATACTAATTAAGTTTGCAAAAGTTAAATTACCCTAATGTATTTTAATTTCACTTTGATTTGCCTGGCCCTGCCTTTATTCTCTACCCCAACTCCCACCTCTGATCCATTGTAAGCTCCTAGAAGTAAGGGACTTGGATTTGTTTAATAAACTATACCTAATTCTTAGAATCACACTGAGCACCTTTTAGGTAAAAGATGCATTTAAATCATTAAATGAAAGAATGAATAAGATATCTAATTTAAAATATTAACATATTTTAAAAATAACATTCAACATTCAAAAATACATGTCTAGATATGTTATTCTAGAAATATTTTGTGAATAATTGCAACATTTCAGCTCGCAAATAATTGAAACAAATAATTTTTTATAATTTTCTTTTATTTTTAGTTTTTGTGGGTACATATAGGTATATATTTTTATAGAGTACATGAGATATTTTGATACAAGCATGGGATGAGTAATAATCACATAATAAAAAGTTGAGTATCCTTTCAAGCATTTATCCTTTGTGTTACAAGCAATCTAATTATACCATTTTAGTTATTTAAAAACGTACAATTAAATTATTTATTGACTATAGTCACTCTGTTGTGCTATCAATACTAGGTCTTATTTATTATTTCTGTTTTTTTTGTTTACCCGTTAACAATCCCTACTCCCACTTTCCACCCACCTACTACCCTTCCCAGACTCTGGTAACCATCTTTCTATTCTTTATCTTCATAAGTTCAATTGTTTTGATTTTTAGATACCACAAATAAGTGAGAACATGTGAAGTTTGTTTTTCTGTTCCTGGCTTATTTTACTTAACATAATGACCTCCAGTTCCATTCATGTTGTTACAAATGACTGAATCTCATTTTTTTTAATAGCTGAATAGTACTTCACTGTGTCTAAGTACCACATTTTCTTTATCCATTCATTTGTTGATGGACACTTAGGTTGCTCCCAAATCTTGGTTATTGTTAACTATGCTAAAACAAACATGAGAATGCAGATATCTCTTCAATATGCTGATATCCTCTGGGTTTATACCCAGCAGTAGAGTTACCGGTTCATTTGTAGCTGTATTTTTCATTTTTGGGGGAACCTTCAAACTGTTCTCCACCGTCGTTGTACTATGAAAATTTACATTTCCAATGAAAATGTATGAAGGTTCCCTTTTCTCCCCATCCTCACCAGTGTTTGCTATTGCTTAACTTTTGGATAAAAGCCATTTTAACTGAAGTGAAATGATATCTCACTGTAAGTTCTGACTTCCATTTCTCTGATGATCAGTGATGCTGAGTACCTCTTCATATGCCTGTTTGGAATCTGTATGTCTTCTTTTGAGAAATGTCTACAGAGACCCTTTGTCTATTTTTTTCAATGAGATCACTAGAAGTTTTCTAAAGAGGTGTTTGGGTTCCATATACTCTGGTTATCAATCCCTTGTCAGATGGGTAGTTTGCAAATATTTTCTCTCATTCTGTGGGTTGTCTCTTCACTTTGTTGATTGTTTCCTTCATTGTACAGAAGCTTTCTAACTTGGTGTGATCTCATTTGTTCATTTTTGCTTTGGTTGCTTGTGCTTGTGGGGTATTACTCAAATTTTTACCCACACCAATGTCCTGAAGAGTTTCCTCAATACGTTTTTGTAGTAGTTTCATAGTTTGAGATCTTAGATTTAAGTCTTTAATCAACTTTGATTTTTTTAAATAAGGCAAGTGACAGGGTAGAGCCCTATCTAGACTAGATGTTTAATTCTTCTGCATATTGCTATTTAGTTTTCCCAGCCCCGTTTATTGAAGTTACTGTTTTTTTCCCCAATGTATGTTCTTGACCCCTTTGTCAAAAATGAGTTCAATGTAGGTGTGTGGATTTATTTGTCCATTCTCTATTCTGTTCCTTTGGTCTATGTGTCTGTTTTTATGCCAGTACCATGCTGTTTTGGTTACTATAGCTCTGTGGTATAATTTGAAGAAAGGTAATGCAATTCCTCCAGTTTTGATATTTTAGTTCAGGATAGCTTTGGTTATCCTGGTCTTTTGTCATTCCATATACATTTTAGGATCATTTTCTCTATTTCTGTGAAGAATGTCACTGGTATTTTGATAGGGATTGCATTGAATCAGTAGATTGCTTTGGGTACTGTGCAGATTTTAACAATATTGTTCCTCAAATTCATGAACATGAAATATCTTTCCATTTTTGGTGTCCTCTCAAATTTATTTCATTAGTGTTTTATAGGTTTTGTTGTAGAGATCTTTCACTTATTTGGTGATGTTAACTCCTAGGTATGTAATTTTATTTGTGGTTATTGTTTATGGTATTATTTTATTGATTTCTTTTTCAGATTGTTCAGTGTTGGCATTTAGAAATGCTACTAATTTATGTATGTTGATTTTGTATCCTGCAGCTTTAGTGAATTTATAAGTTATAATATTTTCCTGATAATAGTCTTTAGAGTTTTCTAAATATATGATTATATCATCTGCTAACAAGGACAGTTTTTCTTCCTTTCCAATTTGGATGCTATTTATTTCTTTCTCTTGTCTAATTGCTCTAGCTAAGACTTCCAGTACTATGTGAATAACAGTGGTGAAAATAGGCATCCTTGTGTTTCAGATGTAAGAGAAAAGGCTTTGAGTTTTTCCTCATAATACATGTGGGTCTGTCATATATGGCCTTTATTACGTTGAAGTGTGTTTCTTTTATATGCATGTTTTTGAAGGTTTTTATCATTAAGTGATGTTGAACTTTTTCCATCCCTTTATTTTCAGTCTACGTGTATCTTTATGTATGAAGTGTATTTCTTATAGGCAACAGATCATTGAGTACTTTTTTTTATCCATTCAGCCCCTCTCTGTCTTTTGATTGGAGAGTTTAGTGCATTTGCATTCAATGTTATTATTGATAAGTAAAGACTCACTCTTGCAATTTTATTACTCGTTTTTTGACTGTTTTGTGGCCTTTCTCTTCCTTCTTCTCTTCCTGTCTTCCTTTTAATGAAGATAATTTTATCTAGCAGTATGCTTTGATTTGTTGTTTTTTATTTTTGTGTATTCATTGTATATTTTCTGATTTGAGATAACCATTAGGTTTCCAAATACTATCTCATAACCTATTATTTTAAACTGATGAGAAATTAATTCTGATTGCATAACAAAAACACAAAATAAAACTAATGATAACCCTATTCTTTATCTTTATTTTCTAGCTTTTAAACTTTTTCTGTTTCTCTTTATGTCTTATTGTACCGTCTGTATCTTGAGCAGTTGCTGTAATTATATTTTTTGATTGGTTCATCATTTAGTCTTTCTACTTTAGTCAAGACAATTTTACACACCAAAATTATGGTGTTACATCATTCTGTGTTTTTGCATGTTCTTATTATTAGCAGTGAGCTTTAAATCTTCAAATGATTTTTTTGTTGTTGTTCATTAATATCCTTTTCTTTCTGACTGAAGTACTCCCTTTAGCATTTCTGGTGGGACAGGTCTGGTGTTGATGAAATTACTCAACTATTGTTTGTCTGGGAATATCTTTATTTCTCCTTCGTGCACAGAGAATATATTCACTGGATATACTATTGTAGGGTAAAAGTTTTTTTCCTTCAATACCTTAAATATGTTGTGACACCCTCTTCTGGCCTGTATGGCTTCCATTAAAAAGTCTGCTGCCAGACATATTGGAGCTCCGTTATATGTTATTGGTTTCTTTTCTCTTGCTGCTTTTATAATTCTTCATTTATCCTTGACATTTGGGAATTTGATTATTCAATCCCTTGTGGTAGTCTTCTCTGGGTTAAATCTGCTTGGTGTCCTATAACTTTCTTTGTAATTTAATGTTGATATCTTTCTCTTGATTTGGGATATTCTATATTATCCCTTTGAATAAGCTTTCTGCTCCTATTTTTTTCTCTACTTCATCTTGAAGGCCAATAACTCTCAGATTTGCCCTTTGGAGTCTGTTTTCTAGATCTTGTAGGTGTGCTTCATTGTTTTTTATTTTTTATTATTTTGTCTCCTCTGACTGTATTTTCAAATAGCCTGTCTTCAAGCTCACTAATTCTTTCTTCTTCCTGATGAATTCTGCTATTAGGAGACTGTGATGAATTTTTCAGCATGTCATTTGCATTTTTCAACCCTAGAATTTCTGCTTCATTCTTTTTAATAATTTCAATCTCTTTGTTAAATTTATCTCATATAATTCTGATTCTCTCCTCTCTGCTATCTGAAATTTTTTTGAGTATCTCTAAAACAGCACATTTAATTTTCTGCCTGAAAGGTCATGTATGACTGTTTCTCCGGGATTCATCCCTGGTGCCTTATTTAGTTCATTTGATTAGGTCATGTTTTCCTGGAAGGTGTTGATGCTTGTAGATGTTTTTTATTGCCTGGGCATTGAAAAATAGATATTTATTGTAGTTTTCACAGTCTGGGCTTATTTGTGTTTGTCTTTCTTTTGAGGACTTTCCAGGTATTTGGAGGGACTTGGGATTCAAGCCCAATAACACTGTGGTTTTTTCAAACTTGTAGCAGTACTGTCTTGATGGTCTTGGATGAGTTCTGGAAGAGATCTCTGAGTTACCAGACAGAAACCCTTGTTTTTGTTTTGTTTTCTTTTGTTTTTTTCATTTACTTTTTCCCAAACCTACAATCTCTCTGTCTTTACTGAGCACCCTGGAAACAGGGAGTGTGGTGATGCAAGCACCCCTGTAGCCGTTATTGCCATGATGCCCAGGGCTCTTTGCTTTAGAGTGGCAAGTTCCCCCAGGCCCTTGGAGTATCCCAGGGATTAGAGTAAAAAACTTTAGCAGTTTATTTAATATTCTATTCTACTACAGCTAAGCTGGCACTCAAAACACATGATGAAGTCCTTCTTACTCTCCCCTTTTCACAGGCAGAAGAGCCTGTCCATGTGGCCACTACTACCACTGGCCCATGGCGAGTTCTGCCAGGTTTCTGAAGATCTTTGCTTCAAGCCCAAGGGCATCTGCATCAGCTTGTGGTAAATGCTGCCAGGCTTGGAACTCACCCTCCAGTGGAGTGGTCTCCTTTCTGGCCCAGGGCAGGTCTAGAAATGCTGTCCAAGAGCATAAGGTCAATACTTTTGCCTATGATCCAAGACCATTAATATGCATACCTATTATTTGTAGGAAAGGAGTCACAAACACCAGTGTTTTCCACAAACACATCAGTGGTGACTGACATATTGTTAAGATTTGTTTATTATAAAAGCTTACTGCTACCTTAAAGTGAGTGGAGTTTGGCCTGGAAAATATAGAAGAACAGAGAACAACAACAAAAACAAGTAAACATAATCCAAATCTGAGAGGCGTGGGAAAACTTAAAATGTTCAGTGAGAAGTCTAATCTTGATCTCAGTGAGGAGCTCAAACAGGCTTAATAATGGTTTGTCACCCAAATGATGTTCAAAAGTGCTGAAGTTAATAATGCATCTAATCCAGAAATAAAGCATCCTTTGAGATAACCAGCTCGGCTATTCTTAGATTGCCAATGGAGCTCTTTTTTTTTTAATTATACTTTAAGTTTTAGGTTACATGTGCACAATGTGCAGATTAGTTACATATGTATACATGTGCCATTTTGGTGTGCTGCACCCATTAACTCGTCATTTAACATTAGGTATATCTCCCAATGCTATCCCTCCCCACTCCCCCAACCCCACAACAGGCCCCAGTGTGTGATGTTCCCTTTCCTGTGTCCATCTGTTCTCATTGTTCAATTCCCACCTACGAGTGAGAGCTTGCAGTGTTTGGTTTTTTTGTCCTTG
Organism: Homo sapiens; assembly: GCF_000001405.40. NCBI lineage: Eukaryota > Metazoa > Chordata > Mammalia > Primates > Hominidae > Homo > Homo sapiens. Next base: position 24,702,632 of record NC_000005.10, read on the forward strand.
CAATAGTTTGCTGGGAATGATGGTTTCCCGCTTCATAAAGACATGAACTCATCATTTTTTATGGCTGCATAGTATTCCATGGTGTATATGTGCCACATTTTCTTAATTCAGTCTATCATTGTTGGACATTTGGGTTGGTTCCAAGTCTTTGCTATTGTGAATAGTGCCACAATAGACATATGTGTGCATGTGCCTTTATAGCAGCATGATTTATAATCCTTTGGGTGTATACCCAGTAATGGGATTGCTGGGTCTAATGGTATTTCTAGTTCTAGATCCCTGAGGAATCGCCACACTGACTTCCACAATGGTTGAACTAGTTTACAATCCCACCAACAGTGTAAAAGTGTTCCTATTTCTCCAATGGAGCTCTTATGTTTCCATGTAGAACAGTAGCAACAGCAACAAACTTGGTAGAGACTTATCTTAGATCTTTCTGTGCTGATCCAGTACATGATCCACCGTGACAATGAGTAGGTGCACTGGAGGAATGAGTTGACGTTGAGAGTCAGTTCTGTTATGAAAACCTGTGTGTCATGTGCAAAAGGGGCCCAGCATCCACCAGGAGCTACTGGCAGTGGCTCATTGATCTTCCCATTTACTGCACATGAGCTGGAGTAGAGTTTTGCTCAATGATGAAGTATAAATGTGGAGTGTGGATCCCAGGAGATGATAATGGTCATACTGAGTTTAAAATAATTCTGTTTCATCGCATGGCTTTGCAAAGCATTATAAATAACCAGATGCTGAGTATTATGTACAAAGCATAGAAAGAGATTTGGACATGTGAGGCTCTCTACGTAAAAAGCAATTAACTCATGTTCTTGACATGTCTATCAAAATGCCACTTGCTAGCACAACATTGACTGTTGAGTGCCTTTTCTGTAGAATTTATATTCTTTCCCCACACTGGGAATCACCAGAGTAACCTTTTTACTCTGTTTTCTTAGCTCTCACCCTACCTCCTTCTGCTCCTTGCCGTCTGTCTCTTTTCATTTGTGAATTTGATTAGTTTATAGGGAAGAACATAGAGTCAGTGCCCTCCAAAGTTTAACTAAAAAGCCTGAAAGCTCATGTATTTAAAACAGCACACATAATGTAAATAACCTATATCTATGAACTATATCCCTTTACGACAGAGATTAAGTTAAAAACGTAGTGTTTAAGTTTGACATGAGACTTGAGTACTCAAATAATATCACATCAGGGGAAATGCCACATTTTTTTGCAGTCTACTTCACTGCTAGTAAGGAAAGACCAATTAAAAAATAGGGATCGGTAAATATGTTGTCTTGATAATCTAGGGTAAAGGATATGTTTGCATATAGATTCTTTGCTGTATTAGCTCAGCTGAACTTTATCTTTTCCCTTGACACCCTGCTGATTTCCAGCATATGTGTGTGTAATCACTAGTGTGTGACCTTCTACTGTTTGCCACTTAAATATCTGTTCCCTTGCTTTTTGCCAGCTGTACTAAGCAATGTTCTCAGGTATATTTTTGGTCCTGTCAGCAATTTAAGCATCAGAAAAAACATAGCTGTGGGTATCTCAAAAATTATCCTTTCCTTTCTCATTGTGTTCTCCATTCCACTTTTGAATATAATTGATTACAAGTCTAATGAATGATCTTACTATTGTTAATACATTAACCTTTTTCTTCAATTTAAATTCAGTATCCAAACTACATATCTTCAAAAGGGATATATCCACGCAAAGAAGGAGGAGAAATAAAATGCACAATAAATATTTGAGATAAAATCCTTATGATAGTCACTTGAAAACTTATTTGCTGTATTTTCTCCTATTTCTCCCCTTGCCCTAAACAACATAACCTGAACTAGTTACAATATGAAGAGAATGTCAATATTAATTGGAGTGTTTTGACTTCATCAGGAAACAACGAAAAATCAGAAGCTCTTAAAGCAGTAAGTTTCATCTTCTGGGAGGTTAATTTCCTTCGGAAGTTATATTAACTCCTTCTCACCACATGGGCATTATGTACTCTTAGTGTTACTGTTGTCTTTATAAATAGCCCTCCAGTGGCCCTAAATAGTAATTAAAGCTTTGCAATATGCCTAAATTGTTAAAGTATAAAAAGAGTAATGTAGATATGTGAAGAGTGTAGCTTGACAAATTACAATGATCACTTCTTTTCTTTCAGATTGAACATTTTTCCCCCCAACTACATTTTCCTCTTCCTTGAACAGGATAAATTTCAACTGGCAGGGCCACTAATAGTCTCAGTTTCACTATCTAATGATAACTGTATTCAGATGCAATGGTCTTTGACAAATTGAATTCTAATGTTTAATGTATGCAGATCTTCTTTGTTCTGAATGTGGGAAGATGGAATTCCGTGCTTCAAGCTGACAGCAGTAGTTTGCATAATACTGATTTTAAGACTATCTTGTGATATATAATCTACTTCTTTACCACAGAAGAGGATTTAAAGCTTGGGACATGTGTCTGCATCTCACTATTTGACGTTTCCGCAAAAATAATATTAAACTTTCCCCGTTGACTCAATATAGGGTTCGTAGAATATGAGTGTTTTAGAGTGAATTAGAGTGTTCCCTCAATTTGATAACTCATTTTTTTTTTTTTTTTTTTTTTTTTTTTTTTTTTTTTTTCAGATGGAGTCTCACTCTGTCACCAGGCTAGAGTGCAGTGGTGCAATCTTGGCTTACTGCAACCTCCACCTCCTGGGTTCTAGCGATTTTCATGCCTCAGCCTCCTGAGTAGCTGGGATTACAGGCATGCACCACCACACCCAGCTAATTTCTGTATTTTTGTAGAGACAAGGTTTCACTGTGTTGGCCAAGATAGTCTCGATCTCTGACCTCGTGATCTGCCTGCCTTGGCCTCCCAAAGTGCTGGGATTACAAGAGTGAGCGACCATGCCTAGCCCAATTTTTTTAAAATTGGAAATTTTGTAATTATTTTTTCTCACTGTTAAGTCTTATAAATCCTTGTTATATTTATCTTAGAACCCTCAATTTTCTTTTAAACCCACACATGCATTGTGCATGCACACACTAACACACATACAAAACTAACATTCCCATGATTTCTGAATTCACTTTATGTACCTATACAGATACTTCTTAATTTACAATGGGGCTATGTTCCAATAAACATGTTGCTGGCTGAAAATATTGTAAGTTGAAATGTATAAAATATACCTAATGAATTGAACATCATAGCTTAGCTTAGCCTAACTTATACATGCTCAGAACACTTACACTAACCTACAGATGGGTAAAGCCTATGTTAACACAAAGCCTATTTTATAACAAAGTTTTCAATATCTTATGTAGTTTATTGAATACTAAACTGAAAGTGAAAAACAGAATGGTTATAACAGAATAAAAAGATAACCTGCAGAAAGAAAGAAAATATTTGCAAAGTCATTCATTTGACAAGGAATTAATATTCAGAATACAAAAGAAACTCAAACAGCTCAACATCAAAGAAAAAAATTGAATAAAAATTGGCAAATTAGCCAAATAGACATCTCTCAAAAGAGGACATACAAATGGCCAAGAGGTATATGAGAAAATACTCAACATCGTTAATCATCAGGGAAATGCAAATTAAAACCACAATGAGATATAATCTCCCTCTAGTTACAATGGCTATTATAAAATAGACAAAAGATAACAAATGCATAGAAAGGGGAACTCTTATACACTGTGGTGGAAATGGAAATTAGTATAGCCATTATAGAAAACACTATTGGCTAGGTACAGTGGCTCACTCCTGTAATCCCAGCACTTTGGGAGGCCAAGGCAGGCAGATGACCTAAGGTCAGGAGTTTGAGACCAGCCTGGCCAACATGGTGAAACCCTGTCTCTACTAAAAATACAAAAAATTCACCAGGCATGGTGGTGCATGCCTGTAATCCCAGCTACTTGGATGGCTGAGGCAGGAGAACCGCTTGAACCCAAGAGGGGGACGTTGCAGTGAGTTGAGATGCTGGGAAGGGAAATGGAGAGGAAGAACAGTACAAAATTGGTTAACAGATAAAAAATTACAGCTAGATAATAGGAATCAGTTTTACTACTGCTTTAAGCACTGTAGGTGACTATAAAAAAAATTATTTTATATTTTCAGGCCAGGAATGGTGGCTCATGCCTATAATTGTAGCACTTTGGGAGGCCGGGGTGAGTGGGTCACGTGAAGTCAGGAGTTCCAGACCAGCCTGGCCAACATGGCAAAACCCTATCTCTACTGAAAATGCAAATAGTACCCGGGTATGGTGGCATGCCCCTGTAATCCCAGCTACTTGGGAGGCTGAGGTGGGATAATTGCTTGAACGTGGGAGGCGGAGGCTGCAGTGAGCCGACATTGCACCACTGCATTCCAGCCTGGGCAACAGGGCTAGACCCTGTCTCAAAAAAAAAAAAATATTTTATATTTTCAAATAACTAAAAGAGCAAATTTTGAATGATTCCAACACAAATAAATAATAAATGCTTGAGGTGATGAATGTGCTAGTTACCCTGATTAGATCATTACACATTGTATATACATGTACCAAATACTACACTGTACCCCATAAATATGTACAATTCCTATATATTAATTAAAAATAATTTTAAAAAGCAAAAAAACCCCTCAGAATGGTTGTATAGCTACTTGAAGTATGGTTTTGTTTTTGTAAATTCAAAAAATTGTTGACCCATCATCAGTCAGAGATCCATTCATATGCACTGTACACATATATCTTTAATATCTTCTTGCTTCTGTTTTATAATATTATTTTGCCAATATTATGTTTTTGTGATATCATTCATTTATTTTTAAAGATTAAAATTATACTTTAATAAAATGAATTATGTGTCATTGTCTAATTTTAATTTTGTAAATAAATTTTCTTTTATGGCCTATTTGTCCATGTGTTTAAGAGTGACGGAGTTTCATTCTAGATGTAAATTCATTTTCCCTTTTGCATCTATCTCTTTGTGTTTTACTCTCTGTGTCTAGAAGTTTTGGCAATGACTTCAACCAACCACAGTTTCTATCAGTCCAAAAGCAGCATGGAGACTTTGTCCCTTGGTGACAGTAGATATTTGTAGATCTAGACACCAAGCCATCGGGGTGGTTTGTCTCAGTCCCCACCTCTCCCAGGTCCCCCAAATAATTCATAGTCTCAGGGAATGATGAGCTGGCAGCAGCTTTTCCATTCTTTTCTCAGCAAGTGGTTCTCACCCCAGATGTCTGTTTTAGAGTACAGAGCCTTGTTTTGTTTTTGTGCTTTAAATGGAATTATTTACTTTTATTACAGAGAAAGCTTTTCTTCTGATCTCTGTTGCCTGCTGGCTGGGGGTCAGGAAGCTTGAAACCTTGGCCCCATGCTCTGAGGTATGTTTGAGTTCTGAATATGGATTATGGAAATGGTTACCTTATAGTTGAACAAAGCAAGTTCTTTTCTACTCTCAGGTTATTAATTGAAACTATCATGATGTATGTGTGTGTGTGTATGTATATGTATTTAGGTTTGGGAGTTATACTCAAATTATGGTTTTAAAGTATCATCTTTATTGAAAGTCATGCAGATTGTTATTATGCAGTGAAATTTATTGTATAGTTTCAAATTCTGCCACTGTAGCTATGAATAAAGCTGTTTTTGAAATCATCAGTAAACACTAAACTAAGCTCTATATCTAAGAAAAACTTTGTATTTTGTACTATTTTTATAGAACAGTGTGTGTTTTTCTCTGTTAACTTTATTTTGAGTAACCTGATAACATTAGCTATAGATTGAGTCTACAAATAATAATCCTAGAAATTCAGTGAATAATAATGTTGATTAGTGTTATAAAAGTTCCTTGATATTAAGATTCATAGAAAGTGATCATTCCTTTGGCAAATTGTTACATGGGGAACTAAATATTGTCTCTAAAAATTCAGATTCGCAATCCAAACAAGAAGATAAAAATAAAAATAAAGACTTTTAAATATGTTCAATTATGTTCATGTTACATATTTAGTTTTTTTCAGTTGAGTGATCACTGATTTGCTGGAATAAAATTTTCTGTTCAGGGTTAAATAGGCTTAAAATTTTTAAACCATCAAAATATAAAAATAAAACTTTAAATTTGCATTGTGTAAATAGAACAATATCCATAATTTACTACTGGAAGGAAACATTTTTATTTTAACCTATTTTATTTATAAATAATGATATGATCACTGTTTATATTTGTTATATCATATATTTGAAATAACATAAATAAGAAAATTGTATATTTGAACTATTAAGTGTATTTGAAGACGCATTCATTAGTATTAAATATTTCATGAGTGGTGAGTAAAATACTCTCTCTTGATTAATATTATCATATATTAAACTGGTAACATTATTCAGATAATTGTTTTTTAGTGTTTTCTCAGCTAGAAATTAGCAGTAATTGAAGCAGAAGTCTTATCTGATGATTATATTTTTTAAAAACATTATAAATGACATAATCCCAGAAAAATTTTAAAACCATTTGTATATGGTGTAGTGCTCTTATATATGTTTCTTCCTAAAAAAAGTGGATAAATGATATTTATTTAGAGATTTTGAGACTTCTAAAATACTTGCCTTCAATTATATCAGGAAATCTCAGATAATTTTTTTCTTGCCAAAACTTGTGCATGCCTCTTTATCCAGAATTAAATTTAAAATTTTCTCCCTATTTTTCATATTTCTGCTTAGGCTAATTAAATGAGTTACTAAACTTCCTAGTTGGATAGAAGGCATCTAGTGTTTTAATCTTTCTGTGCTACAAATAGTATCTAATAGTGTCTTCTACAATTCAGATTGAAAGGTATAAATTAGTCTTTGTTGTCCTCTGTATCTAATTTCTACAATAAGTTATAAATATGTTTTTCAAATTGAGAATCATAAGATAATCAAATAACCAGTAATCAGTAACTTTAACCATATGATATATAATATATAGTTATATATGTATATATATTAAGATTTTAAGATTTATGGGCATGGAATAAATATTTTAATTCTACCAATAAGAAGCTTAAATGTTTTATTTTCCAATATTGTAAAAAGTAATACAAATATCACTATATCAAGACAAAATACAGATATCGACATAATTAAACTGTTATCTATATTTTCATACATACATACGTACATTCATATTTCTAAATCCTCATGGAGGACTAATGAAACAAGTGTAAGTCATAGCTATAATGTTTCAGAAAAGAAAAAAAAATTGTAAGTCTTGCTCTACCTAACATAAAATCATAGAAATAACAGACTCAAAATAGTAGGGCACTATTAAAATGAGTTATAAGGAATTGCTATGATTTAAATGTCTCCTCCCAATTTTATGTGTTGCAAACAATGCGCAATGCAATAGTGTTGGGGATGGGACTTTGAAAGGTATTTGGGTCATTAAGGGTCTGCCTTCAGGAAAGGATTAATGCTGTTATATAAAGGCTTGCAGGAGTGAGCTCTTATGCTCTTCTCCCATGTGAGAAACAGCGTTCAAGGCGCCATCTTGGATATGGAGACCAGGCCCTTTTAAATTTGCCTGTGTCTTGATCTTGGACTTTCCCGCCTCTGGAAATGTGAGTAAATAAATTTCTGTCTTTATAAATGACCCCGTCTGTGGATTTTGTTATATCAGAATGAAATGGACTAAACAGAAATCAATGCAATGAAATAGGCTAATGTAACACAGAAAACATCACAAATGAATGAAAGATAACTATTTAAAAGTAGCATTTGTTACATGGATAATTTGTAATAGAAGTTTTACATTAAGCCTTATCCAGTATGTTAGTCAGTTGTCAGTTCAGGCTTCAATAACAACTACCATACACTACATGGCTCTAAGCTGCAAACATTTATTTCTCACAATTCTGGAGGCTGGGAAGTCCAAGAATAAGTGCCAGGCTCACTCAGTTCTTGGCAAGGGCCATCCTCCTAATTTTCAGAAGGAGGCCTTCTTGCTGTATACTCACATGACACAGAGAGAAATCATCTTCTTCCTAAAGGAATTCTAATCCCATCATGAGCACTCCTCATGACCTAATAATCTTTCAAAGCTCCCACCTCCAAACACCATCACACTGGGGATTAGGGCTTCAACATATAAATTTTGGGAAGACACAAACATTCAGTCCATAGCACAACACTCAGCATCAAACAAGTACATAAGTGCATAAATGAACACTATTCAAAAAGTTAAACGTAGCCAACGAAATTACAACTATTACGTTCTGCCTTCTATTAAAAATAAACTTGGCTGGGCATGGTGGCTCATGCCTCTAATCCCAGCACTTTGGGAAGCCGAGATGGGTGGATCACATGAGGTCAGGAGTTTGTGACCAGCCTGGCCAACACGGTGAAATTGTGTCCCTACTAAAAATAAAAATAATTAGCTGCGCATGGGCACCTGTCATCCCAGCTACTCGGAAGGCTGAGGCAGGAGAATTGTTTGAATCCGGGAGGCGGAGGTTGCAGTGAGCCAAGATCATGCCATTGCACTCCAGCCTGGGTGACAAGAGGGAAGCTCAGTCTCAATAAATAAATAAAATAAATAAATAAATGAATAAATAAATAAATAAACAAATGCTAAACAGAACATTAACAAACTCCCACTAGCCTTCAAAAAATGAAAAGAAAAATCCGTGGATGCTTGTTGGATATGACAACCTATGAAGGAAATATAACTAAAACCAATATCACCAAAGTTAACATATATACACTAGGAAAAACTGTGCAAGAAAATACAAAGAACAAATAGTTAAAACACAAACATTCTTGATTGCCATCACCTAGAGAAAAATTTATGGGGTTTGTCAATTCTGAGAAGAGGAATCAAAGATGTTCAACACAACAGTATTCAAAGTATGATTTATAAAAACAAAATATTTCTTTTATAACTGGGACATTTGAAAATAATTTATAATTTTAAAATAAGATACATCCTAAAGAAGGTGTAGGGTAAACATTGCAGTATTAATAGTGTATGTAGTAGCCCACATTTATTAAGCATCCAATATGTGATTTGTGTTTTTCTAAGACTTGAGTTATATGTATTAGCAATTTATCTTCAAAACATCCTTATGAAGTAGGCACTATTAGTATTCTCACTTTGAGGCACATAAAAATTCAAAACTTGTTTTTATAATTAGTGCAGTGGAAAAACCTAGGTTCATCATCAAGCTGTCCGGTTCTAGAGGACACGAGACTCTTAAACACAGGGCAGTGCTTGCAAGGTATAACAATAATATTTACCACTTATGAACACTACATATTTGCTAGGGATTATGGTAACCATTTATATGTGGTATTTCAAGTAATCTCTAGAGGAAAGTTTATTTTCTTCTTAGACTAAGACAGAAACCAAAACCCAAATATTTTAAGTAAATATCCAAAGCAGAAAGAGCTGCTAAACATAGCAACTGTCTGTGAAATAGCAAAACCTTGCACACTCATGCCCTTTACATTTTGGGATTTTTTTTCAATATTTCACTAAAGCAAAATGAGGGTACAGTAGCCCCTTCATGTCTGTGGGTTCTGTATCCCTGGATTCAACCAATGGCAGATCAAAAATATTTGAATAAAGAAACAATTTTAAAAAAACAATAAAAATAATACAAATAAAATATGATAAAACAAATATTTACAAAATATTTACATTGTATTAGGTATTATAAGTAGCCTAGGGGTGATGTATATATGATGTGCGGAGTTGTATATAGGAGGATGTGCAGAGGTTGTACACAAATATTACATCTTTCTGTATAAAGGACTTGAGCATCCTTGGATTTTGGTATTGGTGGGAAGTCCTGGAACAAATACCCCATGAATACTGAGGAACTACTGTATGTCTAACTGAAAAAAAAAGTTTTTAAGATTATGTTATTTCATTTGTATGAAACTCTACTAAAAATGGTAAGAAATGGAAACAAAATGTTATGTTCATGAATGTACTTGGCAACCATGATTGTGAAAAAAATAAAATAATTCAAATGTCTAACCATAGAGAAATACCAAATTCACATACTGACTGAAGCATAGCTACTGGAAATCAGGTGTTCAAAGAGGATATAATGATATATATATTTATTCATTTTCTCTATATAAGTGTGCTCAGAGACAATGATTGAGGGAAGAATACAAGAACTATTAGCAGTGGTTAATGTAATATTTTGCCATGTAATATAATTTTTTCTTTGAGATTTCTCGATTTTTTTTGAAGTTTTCTGGTCTCAACTAATTTATTTCGCATATGTGAACCAGGGGACAAGAAGAATGAGAATCATAATAGGAGTATGCCACAAAGGAAAGATAAATAGTTAAATAAGTAATACTTTTTTTGAAAAAGGTTTATTTTCTATCCTACAATGGACATCTCAAGACAATTGGGTAGTCCACTGAGTCTCTAAATTAGAACACAGTTGGATGTTTCTGACAATGTTCAGATTTTGTTTTCATCTTCCGAGATGCTGAGATTCACTAGGGAAACCTAGCATTCCAAATGTGTTAGAAAATACATAATGTGTCAACACATTGTGACATGGGAGTGATACTAGTAAAAGCTGTTTGAGTCTATTAATAACACAAAACCAGTTCATTCTAATAGCAGAAAAATATGAGTAAATTTCAGGTTTCCTTCCTTCTCTCTTTCTTTTTTTCTTATTTGCTTTTGTAGTATTACTTTATAAATTAAGAAAAACGATGTAATTTTCTAAAAGTTGTAGGAGGCTTTGTGTGGAAATTTCTGCTCCCTTTGAAGCTCGTTATTCAGCATTATATACCGAACTATTTTAGCCATGCATTGTTTTTTACTCATTTACTCATTTGCTTTTTTTTCTGTCTCCCTTGCATCATCTGTGATGCTCACATTCAGATGGCAAATGAAAGAATACTTTGCAAAGTTCATGAATTGGCACAACTTTGGTTCATAAAAGTTATTTTCTGACTAATTTGCTGTTTTTCATTACACCTTTTCTGAAAGTGACAGAGAAAAGAGAGAACAGGATCAATAATAGATAAGTGAATATGACCTTACCAACATGTGTCCTCAATTGGAAAATGTTCACAGGTGTAATGAATCAGTCAGCATCTTACTTCATTCATAGGTGAAATGATTGACCTGTCTCTCCCAACTTCACCTCCATTACCTTTGAGGACAAGGGGCACTGAAGATGTGCTTAATGATTATTGGCTGCAGTATGTTAGTTGTTACTAGCCATGTTTATTGTTTGTTATTGCTTATGCCTAAATCACCTTTAGTAATAAAAAAATTGTTTAGAAACATCAAATATATCTATTTTTTCCTACTGACAGAACTCTGAAGGTTCTAATTTTGGCTAACATATCGAATCACTTCCATTTTGTCAATAGACATTTTGGAGAGATGACATTGAAACCTATCTGGATGTACACTGATTATTGCAGTTTCTACAGAATTATGTGTAACTAATGAGATGTATGACAAGGTGACCCAGTGATAGTGATGATAGTGATAACAAAGGGACTAGAAATCCCAGCACAGTTGTCACCTCAATTTAGTGAGAAAAAAGAAAGCTCTGAAGGATTTTTTTCTTCCTTGAGTAGCTTGTTTTCTTAGTTTGCTCCTTCATTATTATTATAAATTGAAATTAATTTATTTCCTCAGTTTAATCCTTAATACGCTAAGATATGTCAAATGTGTCCAATTGCATTGAACAATTTGAATACATTCTATTTTAATCTTATTGACTATATTGATCTCATTCTACTCCTCAAACAACGCAGCCAAAAATATGCAATCCATTTCAGCAAATGAAACCTCTGGGTGAAGGTTAATTACAAGGCTTCTAAATGAAACAACTGAAAAGAGACAATGATCAATTGAAAATAGACCCTAATAGAGTATGTATGTGCATTTTTCCTTTCACCATAAGGGTTGGAATTATAAGCCACAGATGCCAGTTCCCAGTTACTCATGCCAGCTGGGGGTACATTTGCCCCCACTCTTTCCCATTGGATTTGAAAACTGCTCAATTATCCTTGTATTCCAAGGTCTGTGCTTGCAGCAGGGCTCTGAGATCTAAATTCTTTCACAGATACGGAGATGGGTTCAGTTTACGTGTCTAAAGAGATAATGTTTTAAATGCTCATACGTATTTGACTTTCACATAGTAAGAAAAAGAAACATTTACATCTATCAAGTTAAAAAGAATGCAGTAAGTCTGGTGTGTGTGTGTGTGTGTGTTATAGGAAAGGTTGGGGAGAGAGGAGCAAACTGGCACTTTTTCAGGGACAATCTAGCTATTTGCTATTCCACAGTTGCTTCTGGAGTCTGCGGTGGCAGCTGGTAGTGCTTCTCTGATGGCCATGCTTCCAGGAAACAGCAGAACTAAGACAACCTAAAACAATAAACGCAATGCTATTAACAAATTACTGCCCCTTCCCCCTTTCTACCGATTTCTTTCCAGAAAACATCTGTCTTCTTGGTCTCCTTTCTGCATGCATAAATTCACCTCTAAAGTTCACAGCTTCTTGAGCATTTTTCTATTCTCTATTTAAAAAATGTGTTTTTTCTCACAATCATCTGACAACCTTTCAGTAGCAGAGGTTGTCTGTACTATTTAGTTTTACTTTCTCTATCAAGAATACTGTTTACATACTAGGCAACGACCAATGAGATCAAAAATTATTAGGGGCAATAATATAAGATAATCTTATTAGAGAAATTTTGCTTTAATAATCTCTCCCACTTCCTAGAGCCCATTCTACAACTTCCTAGCTTGTACTGGCATAATTTATTTTATTTTAGTTTCATAATATTACTATTTTTTTCTTTTCTGTGCACTTTTTCTATTACAAGAATCACGACTTCCACTTGTTTTCCACACATCCATTATTTACAATTAACTAATTTCAAGACTGATGGATCACCACTGCCTTCCCCTCTCCTTTTGTCCTTTCTTTTGAAATCAGTATCGTTAATTCAAATATATTTTTATTAAGAGTTTTCTTCAAATAGATACATAAAGATGTATCCTTTTAATGTTTGTTGTTGCTCAAAAATGCCTTTCTTTTGCCTAACATATGTTTGGTATTTTGCTTGGAGATGTGATATTTGAATTGCAGTCTCAACTTCTCAATAGTCTGTAGATGTTCTTCCACTGTCTTCCACTCTTCCACTTCCATTATTGCAGAGGCGAGGTCCAGTGTTTTGTTTTGTTTTTAATTCTTGTTCCTGTATAGTCAGTTGCTATTGCATGGATATCTTTTTTTTTTTTTTTTTTTTTTGAGATGGAGTTTCGCTCTGTCACCCAGGCTGGAGTGCAGTGGTGCAATCTCGGCTCACTGCAGCCTCCGCCTCCCGGGTTCAAGCAATTCTCTGCCTCAGCCTCCCAAGTAGCTGGGATCACAAGCAACTGCCACCACGCCCGACTAATTTTTTTTTTTTTTTGTATTTTTAGTGGAGGCGGGGTTTCACCATCTTGGCCAGGCTGATCTTGAACTCCTGACCTCGTGATCCACCTGCCTTGGCCTCCCAAAATGCTGGGATTACAGATGTGAGCCACCGCACCTGTCCAACTTTTTTTTTTAAATTTAAATTATGGAAGAAAGGATTTATGAAGATATTGCCTCTCTTACTCTCTGTACATTTTCCAGTAAAAACTTAATATATAGTAGGTATGAGAAAAATATTCAGGACGTATGAACAAACATTTGTTGAGTGCATGCTAATACGAAGTACTGTGATAGATTACAGACACCTCTTTCCCTTGCTCCTTAGGTTGGGAGTACAATATGGAATGTACACAGGTAAACATTTAATTATGACAAGGCATACTGAATTGGAACTAGTTAGGGATTAGACAAAGTTCTCTCTGTGGAAATAAATAAATGATTTGTTTCAATGGATTTTACAGAAGTCATCTGGGCTTTTCAACAAAATAGATTCCTCTCTCCATTGACCTGAATTGCCTTAACTGCCAAATGTCTGGGTCTTTGCTTAGTAAAAGATAGACACAGGGTGCAATTCTTCTATTTTGTATCCTTGTTCCCTTTGTCAATTGAACGTCTAGTTGGGCATTTATTGCTGAAGCACACTGAAGGCAATTTCAGCTGAAGGTGAGCCAATGTTTGTGTAAACTTCCAATACAGATTAAATATTAGGGTTTGTCCCAGCTCACATAAGAAGCTAGAGCTATCAGGTTTAGGGTTGGAGGGAAGTCAGAAATTCTTTTAGACAGAGGAAAGAACATATGTAAAAGGCTGGAAGCAAGAAAGTCCATGAAAAACAGGTTAAGAAAGAGATTATAAAGTACATGGAGCCGTATTACAATATGACCCTGAGTGCAACTGGGTGGCTTTGAATGAAAACAGATTCATGATATGAACTGACCTGAAAAATCAGTGTATGAGGTTCCCCAGACAGGAGGGATATTGGACTAATCCAATAGATACATGATAAAAAGAGAAAAAATATAATCCTTATTTTCTTGAAATGCTTTTCATTTAAACCAAAACAATAGCAACCAGGAAACCTGTCTGAAAAACAATCCAATAAACACAATAGAGCTACTTTATTTTTTGGAATAAAGAGGAATACTCTTATATTTTTATATATTATTTATATCTCGGCCAGCATAAAACATATTAGCATTTTTTTTCTTTTTTTTTTGAGACGAAGTCTCACCCCAGGCTGGGGTGCAGGTGCGTGATCTTGGCTCACTGCAAGCTCTGCCTCCCTGGTTCGATCAATTCTCCTGCCTCAGCCTCCCGAGTAGCTGGGACTACAGGCGTGCACAACCATGCCTGGCTAATTTTTGTAGTTTTAGTAGAGATGGGGTTTCATCATGTTGGCCAGACTGGTCTTGAACTCCTGACCTCAGGTGATCCACTTGCCTCGGCCTCCCAAAGTGCTGGGATTACAGGCATGAGCCACTGCTTCCATCCATTGGCCTTTGTTTAAGGTTTGATTGCTTTTTCACTTTTGTATGAATCTATTTTGAAAGCAGTCTCTGAGTGTGGGAGGTTCCCTGGGACTTGCAATGCATCTGCTGGAGTCACAACTGAGAAGATTGCCTTAAAAAATAAAGTAATCCATGAAAACATTGGCCTGACCAAAGTAGACAAAAATCCCTGTCAAGATAGGATAACAACTCTGTTTATTGATCTACTTTACTAAAGTTGGCTAGGAAGAGGGGCGTAATCACAATTCATTTTGTTTGAGGATTTGTGAAACTTGAAAAAGCTGATATTTTCAGATTATTTTGGAATTATCACTTAATAATTGAAATGTTTATATTCAAATATTTTAAATGTAAATTAATATTTGACTGTGTAATTTAAAAATATACAGCTGCTCCACAGGGAGCTTTTGGGGTTCTCCTTTCTGCACTGAGATCACTGTCATTAGCTATTACAGCACATTTTTTGTTTGTTTTTGAGATGGACTCTTACTTTCTAATCCAGGCTGGAGTGCAGTGGTGTGATCTTGGCTCATTGCAACCTCAGCCTGCCTCTCGGGTTAAGTGATTCTCCTCCCTCAGCCTCCCGAGTAGCTGGGATCACAAGTACCTGCCACCATACCTGGCTAATTTTCCTTTTTTTTTTTTTTTTTGTATTTTTAGTAGAAACGAGTTTTCACCATGTACCACATTGGCCAGGCTGGTCTCAAACTCCTGAATTCAAGTGATCCGTCTGCCTCAGCCTTCCAAAGTGCTGGGATTACAAGCCTGAGCCACTGTGCCGGCCCTATTACAACACATCTGATTGCATTCAAGGCATTATACTCTTGGAGATCAGAAAGTGTGTTCAACCTGTACAGAGTTTGTGTGCATATGCATATGTGTGAAACATATGTCTTGCTGAGTTAAGTTGCAATCTTCTTCAATACATAATTTTTCAACACATAATTTTAGTGTGCTCTTTCTTAATATGGAATCTTGAAAATAATAGACAGCTGCTACTTTAATGATTGATTGGTTGGCTGGTTGACATATCTCCTAGTTTCAGTTTCATCTAACATTTTTTGTTGTTGTTTTACTGGAATCCCATTACATGATTTTCCTTAATTTTAAAAGAATATATGCAGTTTTTTTTTTAATTTTAAAAAGGCAATTATTTCAGAATGGCTTAAAAATAATTTCACAGTTCTTTGTCCTCAAAACCACAAAACTCCCTATGGGCAAACATATTCAACAGTTTGTTTTTAATTCTTATAGATGTTGTCTTAATCACTCTTGACTTAATTTTAGGCCTTACTTCTGTTTTGACACTTTCTTTTATATAATTAGATAATTAGATAGAAAATTATTTCCACAACTTCTCCTTAAATTGTAAAGTTCCACTTTTAGAGTTTTGTTTGATTTTTAATTGACAAATAATAATTGTACATATTTATGGGATACCATGAGATGTTTTAATACATGTATATATTCTAGAATGATAAGATCTTGCAAATTAACATATCCATTATCTCACATGCTTATTATTTCTTTGTAGTTATTAACGTTTAAAATCTACTCTTTTAGCAGTTTTGAAATATATAATATATTATTATTAATCATGGTCACCATGTTGTGCAATAGATCACTTGAACATATTTCTCCTGTCTAACTGAAACTTGGTAAGCTTGGAACAACATCACTTCTTTCCTCTTGCACCCTCCAACACTGCTTTCCCCCTTCCCAACCTCACCCACTCCCTTGTGTCCACAGCCTTTGATAGCCACCATTGTATTGTCTTCTATCAAGATATTAATAATTTATTTTGACTTCAAACTATGTAAGATGAGAATATATGTTGCCCAGATTCTCTTTACCTTTCCTTTTCCATCTTTGACCATCACACTTACATGAGCTATATCTTCAATTTTAACATTTTTCTAAACCTTTTTGAACTCCAATCAGAGCTATGCATTCTCCCTGTACAGAGAATGCTATCCTCACAATCTGTGCAGGCTCACTCTTAACTTTTATTGAATTGTTTTTATTTGTATTATTCCATGTCCCCAATTCAGTTATTTTCCTGTAGTAGCCAACCATACTTCTGGGCTATGTAATGCATCTTTTCCCAAAATATGTTTGATTTTTTTCCTTTTAATTGTCTTTGGTTTTGGTATTGGTAGTGCTATCCTCCTAAGATTAGCTTGGAAGTGTTCCTTCCTCTTCTATTTTCTCAAAATGTTTGCAGAGAATTTGTAATATTTTTTTCTCTAAATGTTTGAAAGGATTCACCAGCAAAGTTATCCATTTAAAACTACACATCTTTTCTTTGTAAGAAAGTGTTTTATTATAAATTCGGTTTTTTAATTGGTATGGGAGCACTCTGATATACTCTTGCTTAGAGTCAAATTGGATAATTTATGTAGTCAAGGAACTCAACCATTTCTTCTACATTTCAAACTTGCTGGCATTATATGGCTACATAACATTCCCTTCTTAAAATATGTGTAGGATTTATGAAGACCTCTTTTATTTCTGATATTTTTAATGGGTATTTCTCTTTTTTTGCCTTTATCAGTAAAATCAACAGATTTACTCATTTTATTAGTACTTTTAAACAATTAGCTTACCACATAATTAATTTTATTTATGTTTTGCATTTCATTTCATTTCATTTGTTTTATTTTTTTGAGACAGAGTCTCGTTTGGTCATTTAGGCTGGAGTGCAGTGGCATGATTCAGGTCACTGCAGACTCCTTCTCCTGGGATCAAGGGATCCTCTCACCTCAGCCTCCCAAGTAGCTGAGACTACAGGCACATGCCACCACATCTGGCTAGTTTTTGTATTTTTTTGTAGAGACAGGGTTTCGCCATATTGCCCAGGCTGGTCTCAAGCTCCTGGGCTCAAATGATACTCTTTACTCTTACCTCGACCTCTCAAAGTGCTGGGATTACAGGTGTGAGACACTGCACCCAGCCTCATTTACTTTTTGTACTTACCTTATTTCCTTTCTTCTACTTATTTTGGGTTTAACTGGATTTTTGATGAATTTTTCTTGTGCATGTCAGTAGTCAAATAATTCTCTGAGCTTTCGCTTATCACAAGTATTATCAATTAAAAGTTTTTTTGTGATATAAAATTCTAGGTTGATTTTTTGGCTTTTTACACTTTAAAGATGATATCTCATCTTCTGCCCTTTTGACTTGCTTCTGATGAAAATGAATAGAATACATTATTATTTATGATGAAAATGAAGTTACCATTAATAATGTTGCCCTATATTGAATGTGGCCTATACATTGGTTGCCTTTTCTTTTTTCTGTGCGGTTGGTTTACCACATGCAAACTACTGCTGCCCTAAGCATCAAACTATTGCTGACCTAAGCATTAAACTATTGCTGACCTAAGCATCATTTAAAAAATGTATTTACTCTTATTATTAGCCAAACTTTTGGATACGTAGGTTTGTGTTTTTCAAAACTTTTTGAAAGTTTTATCTGATGTTTTATTCAAACAGTTTTACGTACAATTATATTTCTGAGAATTCAATTACATTTATCATGTTTGATGTTAAAAGTGAGAAATTGTTCATTATTTGCAAACATTTCATTTTCTATTAGTCTTTATATTTGATAATTTCTATTACTCTGTCTTCAAGTTTACTTACTTTTTCTTTTGTAATCTCCAAAATTGTATTACATTAATCTAGTAATTTTTTCATGTTCTACCTTTTAATCTTTAATTTTGAAATTTCATTCATTCGTTCATATAGATGATTCTACTGCTTTGCCCAGACTACCTTTCTCTTTAATCATCATCTCAATCATTTTGTTCATATAATCGAACATAGTCACAATAGTTTTCTAAAGTCTTTGCCAATTCCAACATCTACATTATCTCAGTCAGTTTTTAAAAAATTAATTATCAATGAGAATATGCGGTGTTTGGTTTTCTGTTCTTGTGTTAGTTTGCTGAGAATGATGGTTTCCAGTGTCATCCATGTCCCTGCAAAGAACATGA
The DNA here is from genome assembly GCF_000001405.40 of Homo sapiens. Lineage (NCBI taxonomy): Eukaryota > Metazoa > Chordata > Mammalia > Primates > Hominidae > Homo > Homo sapiens. The sequence goes on from NC_000005.10 coordinate 24,721,572, forward strand.
ACTCAACCTTTTTTATGGCTGCATAGTATTCCATGGTGTATATGTGTAACATTTTCTTCATCCAGTCTATTACTGATGAGCATTTGGGTTGGTTCCAAGTCTTTGCTATTGTGAACAGTGCCGCAATAAACATACTTGTGCATGTGTCTTGATAGTAGAATGATTTATAATCCTTTGGGTATATACCCAGTAATGGGATTGCTGGGTCAAATGATATTTCTAGTTCTAGATCCTTGAGGAATCACCACACTGTCTTCCACAATGGTTGAACTAATTTACACTCCCACCAACAGTGTAAAAGTGTTTCAATTTCTCCACATCATCTCCAGCATCTGTTGTTTCCTGACTTTTTAATGATCGCCATTCTAACTGGCGTGAGATAGGTATCCCATTGTGGTTTTGATTTGCATTTCTCTAATGACCAGTGATGATGAGCTTTTTTTCATATGTTTGTTGGCTGCATAAATGTCTTCTTTTGAGAAGTGTCTGTTTATATCTTTCTGCCACTTTTTGATGGGGTTGTTTTTTTCTTATAAATTTGTTTAAGTTTTGTAGATTCTGGATATCAGCGCTTTGTCAGATGGATAGATTGCACAAATTTTCTCCTATTCTGTGTTTGTGCTGCCTGTTCACTCTGATGATAGTTTCTTTTGCTGCACAGAAGCTCTTTAGTTTAATCAGATCCCATTATGTCTATTTTGGCTTTTGTAAATGAGGACACATGGACACAGGCAGGGGAACATCACACACCGGGGCCTGTCTGGGTGTAGGGGACTATGGGAGGGATAGCACTAGGAGAAATACCTAATGTAGATGACAGGTTGATGGGTGCAGCCAACCACCATGGCACGTGTCTACCTATGTAACAAACCTACCTGTTCTGCACATGTACCCCAGAACTTACAGTATAATTAAAAATAAATAAATAAATACTTAAAAAATAAAACATTAATTATCACTATTTTCTACTCATTCATATGTCTTATACATTTTATAACAATTATATCTATTACAGCCATTCTTGATGTCATTCTGGAAGGTCTCTGGATTGTTTTGACAAAGACTTAAATTACTGGTGAGTTATTTTGTCCTGCCAAGCTTGCTTTCATAATTACTTTAAAAATGCTCCTCCTGTTTTGCCCTTATCCTGAGGATCTGGCCTTTACTGTACAGAGAGTTGTGTTTATTTCTAAGGGATGGTTTTACTGAGGTGTGAGTGAATTTCTTCTTGGCCAGGATTCACATTTCCCCAGCACCCTTTGCCCTTTGGTATCTCTACTGAGCTTGCCACCCCATTATATTCCCTCTGTGTTAGCCTAAGATTTCACCCCATAAAACCACATATTAGTGTTAGGCAAAAATTATAGAAATGTTCATGTAAACACAGTGTCCACCTCTGTCAATCTTCAGCCTCTCTTTCCTCTTCAGCGTTTGCCTTAAAAATTTCTACCATTTCGTTGTTCTGAGCTCTGAGCTGTGCCTCTTCACATCAGCAAGAACACTATACTCTGCTTTGCCCCTTCTTCCCTATGACTACTCTGGAAAGTGCTCCTAAGCAGAAATATGGAGGAGACATGAACTTCAACTTGAATATTTCTTTACTGTCAAAGTTCACATTCCTCTTATCAATTATCTAAAAAACACTTTCTTTAATTATTCTGAGCAAGGCTAGCATCAATTACTCCATCTTTGCTAGAAGTGGAATTTGAGCTTCAATTAGATTTTGTTAATATCAAGTTTAAGTATTTGTTTCACCTCACACTAATAATGGAAATAGGAGTACAACTGTAAATGGTCCTTCAGATTAAGTGGATTCCTTGTGTGTGTTTTAATTTTAAATATTTGGCCTTAAAAATCTGACAATGCTATAAGGTATCCAAAGACATTTCCTGGCCATTTGCTTTACTGTTAGATTTTTCCAAATTTAAAGTATATAGCTGGGCATGGTGGCTCATGTCTGTGATCCCAGCACATTAGGAAGCTGAGGCAGGAGGATGGCTTGAGGCCAGGTGTTCCAGACTAGCCTTGGCAGCATAGTGAGACTCCATGCCTATAAAAACTATAAATGAAATAACAACAAGTATAAATAAAACAGATGTGTCATATTTTACATACAATACAAATTAAACATATTATGTCTTTCATTGTAATATCCCTATTTTAATCTACTTCTCTCCATCTCTACTAACACTACCGTAGTTCTCGATGGCTTTACATATGAATTTTCCTTGATTGCAATTTTCTTTTCACCCAAGTTGCCTTTTCATCTAAGCTAGTTTGTCCGTAAGGTATTCCTCACATTATAGTTGTAGTGACTTTTAAAAGTGTATAAGTATGTCGTGCCCCCATTAGAAAACATCCAGTAATGACCTATTATTTGTAAGATAACACTCTAAGGCCTAGTCTGGCACTAGAAATTATTATGGAATAATGTTTCTTTATGCCTTCAACTCATCTCGCTTCATTCCTCTATTCCCTATTTACTCCCATGCTATGAAATAGGCATAATTGATTACTCAGTGTTTCTTAACACTCCATTCTTTCCTTAAATATTCATCCCATATTACTTTATCTTACTGGTATTGTATTGCTTTAAATGAGAACTCACGTTTCTTCACTTATTGCATTTTAAGCTATTTGCGGACAAAGATAGAACATTAGCATGGTTATTTAGTCAGTAAATTTTCATCCAATGAATGAAATCTATTAAATCTTCACATAAAATTATTTAAGGGTTGTTGGATGCATTCAGAAGGCAAACTGAGTGAATAAAATGTACATATTTTAAAATATCTTCATTTTTTCAGATCATTAATAGTGTACAAACACCTTTAAAAATTTAAGGGATAAAATGGGAAGTAATTAACTTTTAAGCATTGAGTGAAATAGTTTAATAAAATAATTAGAAATGAAACTACCAGCATCCTGTTGAACTACATGGAAATACAAAAAAGTCGGCTTTCATAGTCAAATATAATTCTTAGTGCATCTTATCTTTTAGCTATAGAAAGCATGAGAGAGAGAACATACAGAGAATCTATGAATATTGCTGCTTAATATTACCGAACTGAGAGAAAGATTGGTGAATTACTAATTTTTACTTGAAGATACACACATTTTGTGATAGAAAATAATAATAAAATTTCAGTTAGATATAAACCATATGTATTACAGTATTTTTACTGAGTGAAGCAGATAATATACCCATGTTAAATGTACTTATAAAATTCTTCTTTAAAATGAGTTTTTTGACAAATAGACATGAAATATAGATAATTTGGGGTGGCAATTTACAAGTGCTCCTTTCAGAAGGGACACAAGAAATATTGTTCAATTTGAGACCCAGGAAGTATAGATGCTGATGAAACATATAAAGTGACCTTCAATCAACACTATCTTTGTTTTCCTCCCTGATATTGTCAAAAATGTTGTGAGCAATAAAAGAGAATGATCACATAGATAGATAAGAAATAGTAAGGTCTTAAAATAAATAACCATATGCTCTAGTTGCTGAGAAAGGAAGTAGAGTTTCCAGATAGAATGGAGAAAATCTTTAAGGATGTAGGCCAGGACAGAAAGAAATAAAGAAACAAGTATGAAGATATAAAAGCAAGCTTTTAGGAAGTTTGATAAAAATAACATGTGGCATAATGAAGAAAGAGAGAAAAATATGCATTATTATATAATGTCAAATTTTCTTTCCAACCTCTCCTCATGCAGTGTAAAGAACAGCAGTGGGGTGGGGGGAGGGGGGAGGGATAGCATTAGGAGATATACCTAATGTAAATGACTAGTTAATGGGTGCAGCACACCAACATGGCACATGTATACATATGTAACAAACCTGCATGTTGTGCACATGTACCCTAGAACTTAAAGTATAATAAAAATAAATAAATAAATAAATAAAATAAAATAAAGACAGCAGTTAATTCTGCTGGCAATGTCTCACATCTTGTTATCATCAAATAAAATCTATCATCCATCCATCCCTCAATCAATCAATCTATGTATCTCTCTGTCTATCTATGAAAACTTATAGGTAAACATTTAAAAGGCTGATGAGTTACTGATTTGTTTGCAGATAACTACATTGTTCTGAAGAATGAATCTTAATATTCGTGGAGAGTTTGTTGATTTTCTCATAAATTCCACCAGCTACTGTCAATAGCCAATATATGTTGATTCTTATAGAAATAAAAGACACACTTTTGAAGATATTTAGCTTATAACTTGAGAGATCTTAAAAATTGTAGAGAGCATGGAATGAGAGCTGATATTCTAAGTAGGGTCGTTTGCAAAAGACTGAAGTTGCACGTGGTAAATTTATGAAATTTTTGTAAGTAGCCATGAGAGCTTGAACTTTGGAATTATTTTATTTAGATGAACTGTGGATTTGCCATACTAGTGTGCAGGAATAAATAATGTAATAAGTAAAACTATTAACAGTTGACCAAAGCCTTCAACTGAACCTAGCCAATCCTTCTCTCACTGTTCATAGCACAATAATACTCATAAAGAGGTAAAAATCAGGCATACCAACATTTTTATCATTTTTTTCTTGTGAAAAAAATATGATTGAGTAAAGGGTGAAGCTTTAATAAAACTGGAAAATAAACTGCATGATTTAAGTATAGGAAATTTGTACCAGAAATACAATTTTGGGGGAAAGTACTGCTTAGGTAAACATTTCTGTATATTAGGTTATTAAAACACCAAGTGTGAAAATCTGGAAGAAGTTAAGGTGGAGAACAAGTACGAAGGGCCTAAGAGGAAGAATGCTTGTCTCATTTAAAGCAAAGTCATGAGGCTGATTGGCTCCTGAAGAAAAGCTGAAGGGAAGGGTGGAAGGAGGTAAGATGAGCAAGGTAACGATGAACTAGACCCTGGAAGGCCATGTAGACCATTCAAGGTAGGTACAGAGCTTCATGTCATTCTGCAAACTGTCATCAGTGTATGATTAAATGAACATGGAAATTGAGAGTAAGCATTTGAAATTTTGTGGGTGTAATTCTGTAAAATAATTCTCTGAAAGAATTTACTTTTAATTGGCCTGAATTAACATTTGTTATTTTACTTTTAATAATTTATTTGTATATATTTATAAAATATCAGTACATGATGGGTTGGACACTTTAAAAGATACTTAAAAAAATGTTTCCTGCTCTCAGATAGTTCAAAAGGCACTGTAATCACTTTGACTTTTATTCAGTGAGATAATCAGAGAAATGACCTAATCCAAAATATTTTAAAACTTACTACATTGTCTCCTGGAAAAACAGACTATAGAATGGTAGACAAGGGTATACAAGGGGAAACCAGTTAGAAGACCACAATCACAATCATTTTGAAATCCTCTTTAAAAAACAAAACAAAAATATCTCAGTCCAGCAGGAAAATAATATTCCCATGGAACTGAAAAGAAATAGATTCTTGATCGGCACTAACGCTAAGACCAGCAGGATTTACCGATGGATTGTGTCATGGTTTACAACTGCCTGGGGCTGGCGCATAGGTGGAATAATTTACCAAGACAATTCTAGGAAAAAAAAAAAAGGCAGATTTATTAGAGAAAGCACAAAAGTATGTTGCAAGCGTGCAACAATGCACAACACAGCAGGGAAGGGGCTGTCTGCAAAGAGGCAGGTCTGGAGGGAAGTTTTATTAAGACCCTGTTGCTTGGGCTGAATGCTTGAAACAGGATGCTTGGGTGCCAGTGAGCCATTTGCAGTTGACCCTATTTCTCTGAACATTTCCTCCCCTTTGCCCCTATTTCTGTTCCTGCCAGCTAAGCCCATTTTCACATTTCTCTTATCTCTTTAGAGCTCCACAGATTGGACCTAGATATTAAAACAGAATGAGATTTCTGACTGTCTACAAGATTTTGCCTTGAGTTACTGGAAAAAAATGGAGTTGGATTTGTCATTTACTGAGACAGACAAAGATGCAGGCAGACTTATACATGTGGTGATGGGAGAACCTGAAAAGTCTGTTCATATTTCTTCCCTTTCTTCAACGAATTTGGAAACAAGGTATCAAGCAAAAATGAGGACTGTCAGGACAGGTGTAAGATTTGAAGGATAAATAGAATTTATAAAATAACAGGAAATAAAAATATGGTTTTAAAAGGTCATCTCATGTTAATGGCCATGGATTTACACATTTGACTGCACAGGCAAAAGTATCAAGGAAAAGGATATGGTATTTCACCATGTTTGGAGTTGCTCCCCAGACTACAATGGAGAGAGGAACTAAATTGACAAATATATTAGGAAGTGATGATAATGATAAACCAAGGGAACAAATTTAGTGAGGAGCAAATTGAAGACGTGAGAAAGGGGAGTAACAGTAAGAAGTGGTAGGACGAGGGGATTGATTGTCCCTTTGGAGACCAATAATTTTTGAAGTCAGAGACCTAGAGAAATAAGAGGAGAAGGTAATTGTAAAAATGAAACTCTTGAGTTTGAAGTTGTGGATGATTGTTACTTACCAATAACAGTAAGATGTTGGATACGACCATGCATGGTCTGCATGGCAGAGAAGTTTAGGAAGTATTTCGCTAAAGAACATCAAGTCCAGGGCGTTAGAAAGATTGTCTTTGGGGATATTAAAATCATCATGGTTCAGGAAAGGAGTAATAGTGAAAAGAACACTAGAAAATTAAGGGCCCATATCTTCAGGAAACAAGGAAAGCATAAATGACTCCAAAAGACTGAGTATTGAAAGTAACAATCTGATAGCATTAGCTTCAAATATGGCTTTAATATTATGTTTTGTCAATGCTGTTGTTTAATAAGCGTTATATTTTATTCTGGGCATTGTCAAACTGTAACTGTCCAGGGGAATAAGTTCAATAACATAGCATAAAGTACATAGAGATGGTTTCTTCCATGACTTTCACGTCTCCAGGGAGAACAACTTGGTACAATGAATAAAAGTTACAAGGCAAACATCAGCTCTAAAAATTCAACATTTTAAATACTGGTTTAGTTTAGAAAAAAATGAGCCACAAGTCACTGAATGTTCAAGCAAAGTCTGCATGGCCATCTGTCAAGAATTTTGTAGAGAAGATGACTTACTTCATAGGAAGTTTTTTCCCCCACTTTGGCATTTTACTCTAGTAATAGAAATAGCAGGAAAATAACATATACTGATCAAATAAACTCTCTCTCCTCCCCACCCTCATTCGCTTTCTCTTTTTTGCCTTCCTTCCTTCCCTGTTTTTCATCAAGTGCCAGACACTGTGCTAGACATAGTGAATAAAGAGTTAAAAACGCATCCAGTGATTTTAGGTACTATAATTCTAGTGTAGGGACGGGAACTCAAAAAGTGGATATGCATCTTCAAATAAATGTGTTCATGAGATCGTAAAAACACAAAAGAGAGCAGAATCAAATATGGCTTTACAGAAGACAAAATGCTAGAACTGGTTGTACAAGATGAGGATTTTGATGGCTTGAGGAAAGGGGAAGCAGATTTTAAGAACTAAGAAAAGCGGCCGGGCGCTGTGGCTCACGCCTGTAATCCCAGCACTTTAGGAGGCTGAGGTGGGCGGATCATGAGGTCAGGAGATCGAGACCGTCCTGGCTAACACAGTGAAACCCCGTCTCTACTAAAAATACAAAAACCCAAAATTAGCCGGGCGTGGTGGCGGGCGCCTGAAGTCCCAGCTACTCCGGAGGCTGAGGCAGGAAAATGGCCTGAACCTGGGAGGCGGAGCTTGCAGTGAGCTGAGATTGCGCCGCTGCACTCCAGCCTAGGCGACAGAGCGAGACTCAGATCTAAAAAAAAAAAAAGGAACTAAGAAAAGCATGTGCGTAGACCTGGACAGACGAAAGAGCAGACACTAGGAAACGGCCACGTTACTTCTGTTGGGGATATTCGGGGTGGAGAAGAGCCACTGTGGGTGAGAGGAAGGGATGAAGCAAGGTGGGGCCTATAAGCAGGATCTTGGTCATGAAGGTCCTTGCAATACTACTCTGCAGCCAGAGAGCTTGTTTTGTCTCTTTGTTTGGTTCTTGCTTACGTCTCCTAAAATGCAAATGTGGTCTGTCATATTTTTAAGAGTAACAGTAGGGTCCGCCAAGCTCTTATGTCAGTATTCTTCCTAAATTCCATCTGTACTTATTCTCTCTCAACTTTTGTCCCCTCCACCGCTATCAGGTTTTTGTAAATCTATGTATTCTCTTTTGCCCCAGAGCCTTGTTTACTCTGTTCCCTCTATTTGGAACAATCGTCCAGTTCATGCCTCCATGCCTCCCTGCCTCCATTCTCCTCACATTTAGCAGGGAAATCCACATGCAGCTTTGACATTACATTTTGCAACTTTGAATTACATTTGATCACAGAGCCTTTGGCTGACCCCAAAGCATTGCTGGGTTCTCTGTTTCTAAGTTCCTTCCATGTGCCATTGCTTATTAAAGTTAAGTCGTTCATTATTGACTAAGGTTCATGAGACTGGGAGTTCCACATCCTCTTGGCTTCTGAGACATAGTAACGAGTGGATGTATGAATGAATGAGTGGCTGAATGAAAATGTGCATGAACGCTGTGGAGTATAGACTCTTTTCTGCAGGTGACTGAAGTTCAATGGATCAAACAGGGAAGTAACTAACTCCAATGTGTTTTAGAAAATTCCCTTTGTTGAAAGGGCGGGGGGAGGGAATCTGGAAAGAGACAGGATTAGAGGACAAGTGTTATATCATAATATGAATTAGGAGGATACTTTTAACAGTTTTAAAAAGAAGACATTATGGACCAATAGCAGAGGTCGTGTAGTGGAAAAAAATAGATTACAGAGATATTTAGAGGGTGAGCAATAATTAAATGGATGCATAAGGTGGGAAAAACGTGGAGGTGGCAGTGGTGGTGAAGATAACATGATTCTGGCTGATCAAGGAGGTACTGTTGTCTTTCATTAGAACAAGTATTGAAATCAGGATAGCAGGTCTTGGGATGAGGCAATTGGTCCAGTTTTAAACAGGACTAAACTATTCATGTAGAGAGAAAATTGGCTTTATGATATATCTATTATTCTATTCTTAGGTTTGAGCAGGAAATCTAAATTATAGAATCAGTGTATATCAGTTAATTTTTAAGTAATGAGAATGAATAAGCAGCAGGTAAAATGTACAGTGATAAGATAATAGGGTAGAACAGTATCCTGGGGAGCTTCAACCTGAAAAGATGGCCAAAAGTGTATATGTGTGGTGTGTGTACATGTGTATGAATGTGTGTGTGTGTGTGTGAGAGAGAGAGAGAGAGCCAAGTTATAGGACAATGGGGACAGATTTTTTACATGGAAGCAAAGGGCAAATACATTTTTTTAGAGCAAGTAATCAAAAATATCAAATGTGGCGGGGGGTCAAATAAAATAGATATGGGAAAGTGTTCATTAGATTTCATCACACACAGGTTATTGCTACTTATTGTCAGAGAGGTTTCAGTCAAGTGGTAGGGTCAGCAACCAGACCATAAGTGCTGAGGAGTGACTAGGAGGAAAAAAGTTAATAAAAGGGTAGACGTCGCCATGGAGAAAAGTAACTGTGTTAGGAAAGAGAAGGAAAGTACTCAAGCATTCAAGCTAGTGGAAGGGTATTTGTTAAAATGGTATTAGCCTCAACTGCAGTGATATTTCAGAGTAGGAATACTTGTTTTGCATAATGAAACAATAGCTCTTAGATAATTCTATTACCTACACAAAGCAACGTGAGCACTCTAAAAATATCAGTGCTTATCCTGCTAATATTTATAGCATCCCGTTTTTTGTTTTAGTGTGAGTGTATCAGAGTTTGTACCCTAATATTATAATCTGAAAGTTAAGGTAATAAAAATGCTTGAGTAGGTACTTAAAAGTATTTTGTGACTCTGAATGGCTATTTAAATCTAAAATATCGCTGTTACTCTTTCAGCAACAACTGGTTTGGGGTACTGAATAGATATCCATGTCTATGGCAGCCTACTTTTAAAGTTCTACATACCATAAGGAGACAAGATTTCTGTCGTGCTATCTCAGTAGACAATTTATCATTGACAGTCACTTCTCTTAAGACTGCAGTCTAATTTTTAAACACTCCTTTCCTCAACCTTCAACTAGTTACAATGTCACTCTATGTATTAAGTCATAAATATTTCATGTTGGAAATTTGTCAAGGAAGGGGAAAAAAGCAACATGCACATAGTTATTCCCTGGGTATATTCTCTAATAGCTAAAGTGTCTTACAATAAGGAAATTAAGTAAATTATGGTGCATTAACTGGATAGCATATTATGCTGCCTATAAAACAATGATGAAAATATTTTGTGACATATAAATATGGTGATTTAAAGTTCTATTAAAAAGTGGACTCTGCAATGATTTGGTTTTATTACTGTTTCAACCATAAAATAAATATATCCCTATTGGCAATATTTGCAGGAGAATATGTAAACATAAAAATCGTGAAAAGTATGTTTTTTTATATATAGAACACTTTAATTTTCTCAGAGCTCACTTTAACCTTTTTCAATAAGAAGAAGCTATGTTCTAGGCACTGTTGCTATTGTCTCAATTTATCCAGCTGCATATAAGACAGATAGTAAAACAAATTGTCAGAAATTAAATCTATGACACCTATAATAAAAGGGTTGCTTGGATTTTGTAAATGACATTACATTTACAAAGGTAACATTTTAATGTTATTTTCTTTATCGTACATTCACCAGTGAGTCAAATACATTAAATTTCTTCACGTAAATTGGCCATACAATCCTCTATCTCCAGGATTTCGTAAGTGACTTTAGAAATTCTTATCTAACCACAAAAAATCCAGAGTCTTTTTGGTTTTCTTGAAAATGACGTTATACTCTTTGGTGAAAGCAATACTTGGGCACGAAGTTCCAACTTCACAGATGGCTATTAGACTTGAGTTGCCCTGAGACAGCATCCTTTTGTTGATCTGTGTTATTCTATGTTGCTTGAAACTAGAAAGTTTTTAACACCTCAACAAAAGTTTAAACACACACAATTAAAAACAAAGCATAATTGCTTCCTTTGATCTATATAGAACTCAATGTCCTGGAATTTTGTTGTTGTTGCTTGCTTTCAGAAATTTATTGTTTAGTTAATGAGCATCTGATTCAGCATCAGGCTAAGCCCTATAGTAAAGTCAAGGAGGTCTAGAAACTGTTTTTGGTGTCTTTCCTTGAAAGAACTGTATACCATGGTGACACTAGTATGGTTCTTTTACTCTAATATCTTTCTTCATAGCTATGCTTGGTCTAATTTCATGGTATTGAGAAAAACAGATTTTGGGGGCCTGATGAATGTTTTCCAATTTAGTAAAAGACATCTACCCTACCCCCAGTCACAGAGACTAGGCTAATCTTTGGATGGATGAGTTAACATTTTGGACTAAAAATTCTGAAATAAAGGTCAGTATTAGTGAGATGGGCTAATCTTCTTGAAGAGAAGCCCAGTAGTTATTTACATCACATTTTTTTTTTTTTCTTGGCTGACCATCTATTTCTCACTAAGCTTCTCTGATACAAGTTACTTAGGAATAATATGATCTCAGTTTTCTGATTCTCCTCTAGAATATAAATTTATGTGAAGTCACAGAATTGTACTATTTTTGAAGTTAGAAGACAGTAAGATGTCACTTACCTCAATCTTCTCATTTTACAAATGAAGAAGTCATAGTTGTAGAGATAAAATATCTTCTCTAGGAAACTATAGATTCATAAATATGAAAAATGATATTTTTGGCTCTCAGATCAATTATTTCTCTTGATCATTCTTTCTTAAATGTTATTCCATTTTGACAATATCCCCTACCATCATTTTGCAATATGAATATTTTTATATGGCAGGCACTTGCGGCTATATTTAAAAGAAAGCACAAATTCATATGTTTCACATATACGTGCATTATGTTGTAGCTTCTACAGCTTTCTATAGTATATATTTAAAATTCTTTCCTATCCCATAATTAGCTCATATGGTCATATAAGATTGATGGTTTGATTTTGTAAGTAGGTATAAATTTTTAAACATATAGAATGGTTCTAAAAAAATGTTGTACTTTTTTTCCTTCAGAACTGTTCTTTATAGTGATATGTGATCAGGAAGGCAAAACTCTCAATTTTCTAAACAGTGTACATGCACAAGAGGTCACAGTTAAGGTTACCTTGGGAGTTCTAATTCTGAATTTCCTGACTTTTGTGGGTTTAAATCACAACTTTAATGTTCCACTAATGCAGGGTGTTTTTTTTTACACTGATTTGTTTTATGTTTTTTATTCTGTACTAATGGACATTGTTGATTTCTATGAATATCAAAAAGAGCTCAGTATTCTGGTAAACTCTTTTGAGTTCACGTTTTATTTTTTAAGTCCTTTTATTTGAGTTTGACTAAAACAGTTTAAAAGCATTTCTATCATAAACAGTTTCTTTTTATTTTACAGACAAAGACTGTACAATATTGTTCTTTGTATTTATCATTAAGAACTGCCTTCTAAAAACTGAAAATTTCATGATTTGTTGTATTGTTCTAGTAGCTTTAGAATATCACTTAATCATTAGGCCAGTATCTTTTTCATTTAAATTTAAAAGCGTTATATTGTTCATCAGAAAACAAATAAACAGGAAGCTAAAACAAAACAAAACAAAACCCCGCAGTTAGGCATGATTCTCTATCACGTGTATACCCATAGTGCAGCTTTTCAATTTGGGGATGATGGTGAGGCTGAAGCAGGAGGATCGCTTGAGCCTCAGCTAGTGAGCCAAGAGTTCAGTGAGCTGAGATCGTGCGATTGCACTCTATCCTAGGTGACAGAGTGAGACCCTATCTCAAAAAAATATGAATTTATTGATAAAAGAATCATGTTTTCATATTTTTATGCAGTCAGAATTCTCAGCTTATTGCCCAATTAATATTTATTGAGCTAAATAGAATTCTCAGCTTCTTAAACTGTGTTTCTCTCCATTTTCTATACCAAAGTATGCCTCTTTTTAAGTTGGGAGTCGCCACAACGCCTATTTCAAATTAATTTAGTGATAGTTCTAGAACTGAGTACTATCCCAGAGCAATAAAGAGAAGAAAGAAGTGACTTGGTAATTATTTATATACCTATAATATGAGCTTAGTGAAAGCTTAGTGGAAGCAAGGACTGTGTTTTGGTTACCACTCTGAGCCAGTAAGTGTAATATAATGCTATTTGAAATTGGTTCTCTAGATTTTAAATGGTGCGTTTACTATTTTAGTATTATGTTGACCTCTTTATAATATGACAAATATAAGACATTTTCATACACATTTTACATATTTTTTTCTTAAAATGTAAATAGTCTCCTGAAATGTTAAGTATATGAGTTTTTGAGGAATTAGAATTAATAGCAACAGATAGAATATTTGAAATAACTGATGATGTTTTATGCAAAACAGACAAAGGAGAAAATCCAAATGGTTAAGTTACTAATAATGCTCAAATAGTTCCAATGGACCAAATATGAATGATTCTTAATATGCCACGGTATTTAATTCCCACATCAATACTGAAGGCTATTCTTATTGTCAGATGTGAAAATTACTATTCAGAAAAGTAAAGTGTCTCCGCAGAGGTAAAAGGGAGAATCCGGATGTGGTAGGACATAAAGCTGAAACTAAAACTCACACCCAAAAAATACTTTGGAAACTTTTTTGGGGGGATCCATTATCTATTAAATTTGAATATTGGTATACTCTTCAATCCACAATTCTATTCCTAGGTTATATACAACAGAAACATATACTAATATTTGCAGGGAACCGAAGGCCCATGGGACGTGACCAACTCAGCATTCCACTGGAGGCTGTATGATCAAACAGCAATCTGTTTATCATGAATGCAGGATTTGAGCAAACTCATGACTGCTCCTGCCAACAGAAGGTTTGCTGGAGGCAATCACTGCCTGGCGCCGAGGATATCTACTGCGACATCTAGAGAATACAGTCTTGCAAGCCTACTCTGGACTGAGCAGCTGACCCCTTCTTTCACCACCCCCACCTTCTCACTGTCTCTTTTGCCTAATAAATACGGAGGGCTGTGTAAAGCTCAGAGCCCTTGTCCACTAGAGGAAGGTGCCCCCGACCTCTTCTTCCAAATATACTCTTTTGTCTCTTGTCTTTATTCACGTGTTCACCCCGCTTTGTTCAGTCCAACAGGTTCGCGGCATAGTGGCACCCCAAACAGCGACAGGATCGGGTGTTCTACAAATATTCACCAAAATTCATGCATAAAAATCTTCACTGACTTAATTATAATATTAAAAACAACAGAAACATGACGCTGCACTAAAGAAGGCAGACAAATGATTTTATGCCATAGGATTCCATTTCTATACATTTTAAACAGATAAAACTAAGTTGTGCTTTTGAGGTAGCATAGTGATTATTTTGGAAGAGGTATTGATGGGAAGGAATGTTTCTGGGAGGTAGATGATTTTTTATTCCTTGATTTGAATTTTGGGTACACAAATGTGTTCAGTGTATAAAATCCATTGAACTTTATATTTATGGTTTGTGTACTTTCCTTTGTTATGTAAATCTTCACTATAATTTCAATTAATCAAAATATCGCTAACATGAAAGTAAAATGTATTTTGGAGTCATGTAGATTTAGGTCCAAATGCATCTCTGGTATTTAAGCAACTTTTGAATTTCAGGTGGGAAAGTAGAACTGGAACATCCACGTTATAATTTTTTTTTAAGATTAAAACCAGTGAATAGACCCTTTATAGCAAAAAAATAGATATTTAGATAAAGCTATTATGTTTTTGTTTGTTCATTTTTATTTAAAAGTTCAAATGCATAGCAAACACAACTGGAAATCAAATCTATGTTCGATTCTAAAGCCATGGTTTTTCTTTAAATCTTGCTGCATCTCTCCTGATGTGATTCTTCTCTTAAGGAACAATTACGTCTTACAGCAATGAGGAAAAATTATTACAGAATGTTATATTATGAAGCATGATTAGAAAAAATTCAACTCTTAATAATCACTTATAGCCTAAATCTTTCTTAAAAAATTCAGAATGAAGGAGAAAATATTTCAAGTTTTGATTTGCCTGAACTCTTAATGGCCTCAAAACAACTAGTCATGCTGGTACCAGATGTTCTTAAGAGCAATTTTGACTTAGCAGATGATATTTATTTCATGAAACTTCAGGATCTGATGACTTGCAACTTAACTAAGGAGAAGAAAAAATCAAGAGGGACAGAGAGAGAAACAGATAATGTTCTTCATAGATCTCTTTCTAACTGTGTCATCCTGTCATTGAACTCCCAGGTAATGCTGGATTAACAGCTTGTATATTTCTCTGCCTTCAGACAGAACAAAAAGATATCCATTTTTTTAGGGTACTCTTTCTTATATGTGGAAAATGCCATAATTTCTTGTTTGACTCACCATGTCTCTTGCAGGTGGCTTTTGAATCACCCCAACTTCTTTACCAGCTGATTCATTGAAATCAAATAAAAATGTGGGGTTCATTTAAGTGAGGATACAGATTATTTGCCTCTCCTCATTCTACAAAAGTATAACTAAACTCCCTTGGCATTTCTTGGATGAGTTTAGACACAGAAATTTGACTTTATGGCAATGTTAGAAGTCAGGGCAGGAGACAAGCTTGGAGCCAGACATGAGATCTGCCTACTAGTTCTGAAGGAATAAATGCAGATGTTGACATTGATTAGGCAAAATAGTACACTGAGGATGAGAATTTTTCATACATGATTCATTACAATGCCTAGCACCAGGAAGGCTAAAATGAGGTATCAGAATTACAATCAGGGGCAAAATTTCTGTGTTGGGCAATAAATGACTATTCTGTTATGAAAGTGAGCATTTGACATTTAAGATGTGTATCCATAAGAAACAGAGACCCAGTCTCTTACTTTGTGATTCCACTCAATGCAGAATTTCTCTTAAAGTGATGCCTTAAGATCATGGGAAAGATCAAAATTAATGAACAACAAAAAAAGTACAAGCAGAGTTAAACGAGTATCAACAACTGTGGAAAAACAGGTGTGTACAAGAGGTCTTTGTGGCATTGAACCCAGGTCTAATAATCAGCACAGGAATATTGGAGAAATAAAGATCTTTTTTTTTTTTTTTGTGATGGAGTCTCGCTCTGTCACCCAGGCTGGAGTGCAGTGGTGCGATTTCGGCTCGCTGCAACCTCCACCTCCTGAGTTTAAGCAATTCTCCTGCCTCAGCCTCCTGAGTAGCTGGGATTACAGGCACGCCACAACGCTCGGCTAAGTTTTTGTATTTTTAGTAGAGAGGGGGATTCACCATGTTGGCTAGGCTGGTCTTGAATTCCTGACTTCAAATGATCCACCCGCCTGGGCCTCCCAAACTGCTGGGATCACAGGCGTGAGCAACTGCGTCTAGCCAGGCTCTTCGTAGAATAGTGCTTGGAGTAAGAATATTCTAAGCAACAACAAATGAGGCTGGGCCTTTGCAACAGCAAGTTAGCATGCTTGAAAACTGTTTCGTTGTTGTTGTTTTCTGGAAACATAGGCAGGGCTGCTTCTCAGGAAAGCTCAGATATTTGGAGTCTAGGGCAATAGGCATATGAGGTTCAGTTCACATGTGTCTAAAATATTTCTTAAAATGTAACTGTATTCATTTTCGGAATTTTTTTTTCCAGGAAAGGCAAACCTTTCCACTAAAAAGAAATTAGTGGGTGCTGGTGCTGTGCATGGAAATTGGCAATGATTGCAAATGAGTCTGAAGGATATTTTTTATAATGAGTGGAAATGTTCTACAGCTGGACTATGGTGATTGTTGGACAACTGTGCAAATTTACCAAAATTTATTGACTTGTATGATTAAATAGAATTTTCTGGTAAGTGGATGATACCTTCATAAAACTGTTTAAAAGGCTTTGGTATTTAGACTTCTCTGATTAGCTGGCTTTCCACCCACTGCTTCTTCTTTATATCTTTTACATTAATTGTTCTTTCATTTTGTGTGATTCCTTGTAGTTAATAAAATCCCTTATGAAAAAAAAAATCCCAAATGAGCTCACATTCCTTACATCAGTAAAAATGCCATTTTTTTCTTTTTCTAGGAAAGCAGAATACAGAAACAGATTAAATCACTGTCACTTGTCTTAAGATACAAAATGTCTCTGGGGTCTTATCAAAATATAAGCCTCTGTTCTGTAATTAGAGTAGGACTACGTCATGCCTGCAAATCTCTTTTATAATCCTCCTTTACGTTAAAATCATACTAGCCTTTTAAAATGTATACTTTCATAAAATAATAGAAAGACACCACCTTTTGTGCCTTGTGGGTATGAGAGAATTGGGATGGAATGCTACCATAGACTAACCTCCAAGGAAGTTAGAAAAGATGACAGAATGGCACTCCCTCTTCCCAGCCCTCACCCTGCAGGACTTACTTGGAAATAGTTCCATAATATGTCCTTCCAAAACTCAACTGTAGCCCAGAGACAAATTCCTTTGTCCTGGGCCCTTTTCTTCCAACTAAACAAGGCAAACTTTTTGGATTAAGACTGATGATTGGATAAGTCTATCTTCAGGCATAGGGCTTGAAGCAGGGAGGGGGGCACCTGTCCATTTCCTGGCCTTGAACTTGATAATACATGAAACCAATGGGAAAATAGAGACAAATTTTTATCTCTAAGAGTTCTGCAGTTTTCACTTTATCAAGAACAAGAAGACTTAAATTATGGCCTGAATGATGTGTGAGAGGAAGTCCAAACTTTGGTATATTCTAAAATTCAAGAATTATTTGAAATGCTCAAGAAATGTTTTTCAGGAAGAGCTGTATAAATGCAACATTGACCGGACAATTGCATGTTCATGAAGACTTCCATATAACCTTTACATAGGAGAACAATCTGAGCAGATATAAAATACTTAAAATATAATTTTTGTTTTATATATCCAGTAGAGTACAAAAGAATATGTTTGAGATTCCAGGTTTTATATATTTTCAGGTTTGCTACAGGGCTTTAAAAATTAAAATATTGTGAGAATAGTTTGTAGTTATTTCTAAGCTATAATCCTCTTTATTTATCTATAATGCATTCCCATTTTTCAATGTACACCTACTGGTCTTTATCACAGGGAAGTGTTATTTCACTAAAGCTTTCTTATTTGCTTCTGCTTTTCCCTTATTTCCTACTTTTTTCTTTGTTAATATTAGTTTTGGAAGGCTGCGTCTCTATTTTCTGTCCTCTATTGTGTTGTCTTTTTGATTTAACCTTAGAAATCTCTTTGACCTTTTCATCTGTATTCTGGGAAGGCTTTTTCTCACTCCATCTTTTCCCATGTCTGAAACCACTTTTTACGATATAAATCCTGCATTTACTTTCTCTAATGTGAGGGTTTGTGTTTTGTATTTTTTAGGTTTCTTGTAAACATGTCTTAAATCCCCAGTTTTCCATAATCTCAAGTTATTCTACATATATTGTAGTTTGTTGGCTGCTGATATAGTTTGGATATTTGTCCCCACCCAAATCTCATGTTGAATTTTAATCCCCAACCCTGAAGGTGGAGACTGGTGGGAGGTGTTTGGATCATGGAGGTGAGTCCCTCATCGCTTGGTGCTGTCTTCATGACTGTGAGTTCTCACGAAGTCTGGTCATTTAAAAGCGTGAGGTACACCTTTCCACCTCCCCACCTATCTCTCTCTCTCTCTCTCTTTCTCTCTCTCTGTGTTTTCACGTTGCGATATGCCTGCTTCCCCTTCATCTTCCAGCATGATTCCTAGACTTCCTGAGATCTCCCTAAAACCAAGCAGATGCTAGCATCATGCTTCCTATAAAGCCTGCAGAACTGTGAGTCAATTAAGCCTCTTTTCTTTATAAATTATCCAGTCTCAGGTATTTCTTTAAAGCAATGCAAAATGGCCTAACATAGCTCCTTATCTTCTTTTGCCAGATTTTCTTTTCCTTTCTTTATATTGTGGTAAAAACACATGACATCAAATTTACAATCACAACCATTTTTAAGCTCATAGTATTATGTATATTCTTATTGTTTTGAAGCAGATCTCCAAAACATTTTTATCTTACAAAACTGAAACTTTATACCCATTAAACAATTCTCCCTTTTTTTTCTCCCTCTAGCCCTTGGTAACCTGTTTCTATGAATTTGACTACTTTTGATACCTTATATAAATAGAACTACACAGTATTTATTTTTGTGTGTATGTGTGTGACAGGTTGGTTTCACTTAGCCTAATATCTTCAAGGTACATCCATGTTGTAACATGTGACAGTATTTTCTTCCTGTTTAAGATGAATAATATTCCATTGTATGTGCATAGAATACTTTGTTTAGTCAGTGGACATTTCAGTTGCTTCAGCCTCTTGACAATTGTGAACACTGCTGCTATGAACATGCATTTGCAAATATCTCTTTGAGACCCTGCTTCTAATTATTTTGGATATTTACTCAGGAGTGAGATTATTAGATAATGTGACAGTTCAAACTTTTCTGAGGAACTTCCATACTGTTTTCCATTTTAGTTGCACCATTTTACAATCCTATCAAAAGTGTGCATGGTTCCAAATTTTCCTTATCTTAGCCAATACTTATTTCTTGTTTTTTTTTTATGGTTTCATTTTTTTAATAGTAGTCATCCTCATGGGTGTAAGGTGATATCTCATTGTGGTTTTCATTTGTATTTCTCTGATTAGTGACATTGTGCATCTTTTCATATGCTTGTTGGCCATTGTGTATTATCTTGAGGAAATGTCTATTTAAATCCTTTATCCATGTTTTAATTGGGTTATCTAAATTTTTGTCGTTAAGCTGTAAGAATTTTTCATACATTCTGAACTTACCAATTATCCACAATACAATTTGCAAATATTTTCTCCCATACCTTATGTTGCTTTTCCAGTCTGTTGATTATGTCCTTTCATGCACAAAAGTGTTGAAGTTTCATGTAGTCACAATTGGCTATTTTTGTTTTTGTTGACTTTGCTTTTGGTGTCATATCCAAAAAAAAATGTTGCCAAGTTCGATATTCCTCTATACTTTCTTTAGAAGTTTTATAGTTTCAAGTCTTAGATTTAATTCTTTAATCCAGTTTAATTTTTGTATGGTGTAAGATAAGGGTCCAACTTCATTCTTTTGCATATGAATAGGCAGTTTTATTAACACCAATTGTTGTCCTTTCCCCATTGAATGGTTTTGCACTTGTTGAAGGTCATTTGACCGTATATGCGAGGATTTATTTCTGGACGCTTTACTCTTTTCCATTGATCTGTTTGTCTATCTTTATGCCATGTACCACATTATTTTGATTACTAAAGCTTTACAGTACCTTTCAAAATTAGGAAGCGTGAGTCCAACTTCGTTTTCCTCAAATTTTGGGGGCTATTCAGGGTCCCTTGGGATTCCATATGAATTTTCCTGTATCCCAAAAAAGTGCTGTTGAGATTTTGATAAGGATTGTGAGGCCATATATTCACATACTCTTCTGAGGTTATTAAATACTTTCCTTCCATTTTTTTCTATATTGTATTGAAGATCTCGTAAACTGAGTTTTCACAATCATGTTCACTCACTTGTTTACATTTCTTTGATAGGTTTCAGATTCTACAGTTTTTATTTCATTTTTCATCTTTAAGCAAAATGAGATCTAAATATGGTCTATGTTTGTCACTAGAAATGATGTGTGAGTGGACACTGACTTTGTTTTCCATTAATTTGCATAAAAGTCAACTTATGTGTTAAGATCTATAGCTGAAATACATTTGGATAAACTTATAAGTCAGAATGCAGTTTACAGGAGTTATTCATCTAGACCATATCTTCTCAAGTCACACTTTCCTCTTCAACTACATTTTGTAATACTATGAAGTACACACAAAGCCACAACTTCAAACATGCTGCCATCTGTAGACTTTAACTGACAGTATACAGTTACCACTGAGGCATCCACCAGCTTGAGAGGGAGGGCTATGTCTTGGAGGAAGTAAAAACAAGCTGTCTAAGGAGAAAGGTGACAAAGAATTGTTCTGATTATTTTGAATACCAAGTCTCTGAGTCAGAAGTGAATTTCTTTTTTATCACATGGTCTGTGCTTTGGTTCAATGACTGGCAATCTTTAAGACGCGACGTCTAATTTTTTTCTTATTTCTATTGTATTAGCATTAACATTAGCACATATTTCTTACACTGCTTGACATTTTACATTTTGCACACTTTTGTGATTTGTAGTCTAGCTTTGTAGCTCTATGAGCATTTTAACTAAGAAAACCTGGAACTTAATCAGGGGACAGTTGCAAACTTCCATTTAAAGTGGTAGTTTTTAAACATATATTTCATAAGAATATTTAAAAATAAATAACAAATTATTATTATTATTATTATTATTATTATTATTATTTTTTTTTTTTTGGAGACAGAGTCTCGCTCTGTCGCCCAGGCTGGAGTGCAGTGGCGCGTTTCGGCTCACTGCAAGCTCCTCCTCCTGGGTTCACGCCATTCTCCCGCCTCAGCCTCCTGAGTAGCTGGGATTACAGGCGCCTGCCACCACGCCCAGCTATTTAAATAACAAATTATTTCTTTAGAGATTCGTCTATATTCTGACACAGAATGACCCAACAACTCTTATTATCAGGAAGTCCATGTTCTATTTCTTTCAAAGATACATTTTAAGGAGATTTTTCTTGACTTAATTTGAAAATATTATATCCAATTGAATTTTTATGTTCTTTTGAAGATTGAAATCTGTATGATTCAACTAATTCCAGATCTGGATCTAGATTGGTACATAAATTCTATTTTTAGGAAAATGTCATTTTTTTTTTATCTCCATATGGCAAACATCTTTCCAGATTCATTATGTTTCTGATTCTGCCTACATGCACTCTGGCATAGCTAATTTTCTCCTTAAAAAATCCCTACAAGTTGCTCTTCAATCCCATCAAGTTTCTCTTTATTACATCAGTACTAAAACAAGTTCAGCGTGATCTGGTACGGTTCTCAGCAAAATAGGTCTCTAGGCCTTGGGGCCCGCTTTGTTGAACTACACCTATATGAACATACTATGGTCATGTTATTCAGTATCTAGTGATCTGGTCCACAATCACTTTATCAATGCTATTAAAAAATGCTGGCTACTCAAATAGTTTATAATTGTAATAGGTTTAGTCTTGTCTCCTATATCTTCATACCTTGTCTTTTTATTCTACCTCTATGTAAAACGATTAAACTTAATTTTAATAGGTCCACTTTCAGACTGTCTTACACAAAATTGTCTGTTCATGAAGGCATGTAAAGACAGAAATATTATGTCCCCAATACAGGTAATTACATTTCTCCAAATTCCCTCACATTTATTACATTCTTTATCTAAAATAATATGTAAATTGTTGAGAAACTAACCAAGGAAAAAACATAACTCTTTTCTAGAATCTTTGCCTGTAGTTTTTATTTATAGATGCTTCTCAATTTAATAAAGTTTCATTAAAACTATTTTAATACGCTAAAGAGTTTCACAACAGTTTTGATGGTTCTACACAACTTTAAATCCATGTAGTATATGATAGAAATATAAAATGAGTGTACTATGACTTCAATGAGCTTATAATTTAATCAAAACAGAAAATAAATTTATTAAAATATGAGGAAAATATATATTGAAAGAAGGGTATTGGAACAGATAAGAGTACAAGCTAATTATTTGTATATTTTTGTTTTAAAATCCAAATTAGTCATTAATAACATTGACTACAGGTAAGCAATTACAGATGAAGATGCTATCCTTGTATCTATTAATCCACAAATTTCCATTGCCATTTAAAATAATTTAACTATTACGTGGTCCTATGTATTACTGTGACTAAATTAACCTATAGTAAAGTTCTCTTGAAACATCAGGGTTAAATGATGTGTTCAAAAATACATCTTTACTGTTATAATTTTTATTCATTATTATAAAAGACATCTATATTTTAGCCCAAAATTAATATGTAGAATTTAATGATAGCACCAGTATGAAGAAATAAAATAAGGTTATAAGGTTAGTGAATTTAATCACATGTTTTGATTTAGTAGTTTAGGGGATGGCTTTGAAATCCACATTTTAGTAAGCATCTCAGGGACTTCCAATGTAGATAGTTAAAATCTTTACTTTTTCAAGTTCTGATTCGGTAATTGACAAAAATAAAATTTTAACAACAGGTGTAGATGTTCGACCATTTGCCTGATTAGTGTTCAGCATTTCCACACTACTGCTCAGTACTGGATCTGGATATTTTTGTGGCACCTCCATACAACATTTCTAGAATGAAGTCATGGCTCTTTTAAACCTTCTTCTTTGCCTCTAATTCTTGTGTCTTTTATTAACACTTTTGTACTCACTATCCTCTTTTCTTTTTCTGCAGTCCTACTGGCATCACTTTATTTCAAGTGTACTTAAACTGCCTCTTCCCTGAACTATTGCATTAAACTTCAATAGACTTCTCGCCTCTTGTTCCATTTGGATGACAAAATGCTGCCAGATTAATATTCCCAAAGCCATAAAAATTGTTACATTTTACATAAAATCTTTTTAAATGGCTTCATTATATACCAAATGAAATTAACTTAATTTTAATATAAGCCCCAGGATTATGTGTCCTCAAGACGACTTTTCCCATCTTGTCTGACCTAATTTTTTTTGCTACATAATCTCTGCTTTATTTTGCTTCCAACTACAAGCCAATTAAATTGTTCACCGTACACTACTTGAGTTACTCCACTTGTCTATTTTATGTTTATGAAAGCCTGAGGTCAAATCATTTTCTAATTTACACAGCTGGAAGGAAATCTTCTTCTAAAACCACATAATAACATTTGTTCTTGTACCATTAACCTTATATTTAATATTGTGTTATACAATGACTTGCATATGAGCATAATTTTCATTTCTAGAGTTTACATTCTAAGAGTGTGGAGTCTATTTCAACCTTATACACCATCAGAACCTATTCAAAGCTCTCTACAGATTAGCCATTAAGATTTATCAACAAAAAACCTTTTCCTAGTTCAGCTTTTACTTCTTTTGAATCAGTGCCCATAGCTAGTACATATTATTTTACAACAACAGAAAGTATAGAAATGCATTCATTGAATTTAATATTTAATAGACACTTGTATAGAACTTACTTTTGCTAGACACACTTTGAATTATTAAGGATACTGCATATATTCCATGGGGAATTGTTAATGTTATTTTCATAAATATATATAGTTGAAACAAGAAAATACAAAACAAATTATGTTACCAATTTATTTTGCCTATTTGAAGCTTTAATTTAAAAAATATAGTTTATATAACTCAGCATAACCTTTAAATATCACCACTAATTTTCACTGATTATATGAAAATCTTTTAGGGTAGTATAGAAGTGTTAAATGATATAAGTAAAATTATTAGGTATAATTGACCAAGAAACATTCTAGAAACAATTTAGATTGTATCCATAAATTGAGGTACATGTGATAAAATCTTGAATTTATTTTATAATCAACTGAATAGATCTTATTTATGTCATTTTTAAACTATCATTACAATATTTTAAATGTAAGATGACCACGTCACGATATATTTTATTAAAAGCAATATTTACTATGTTAGTGTAATATAGTAAAGACCATAATAAAAAATGAGATTCATATGTAAAACAGAAGTCTTCTATGATAACAATTATAGATAACAAGTGGGAATTTAAATCTACTGTAGAAAGTAACATTTAAACTAATAATTTACAATTAAAAGTGAGCATATTATAGATGATTTTAGAGATGAACTACTGGGATTTATGTATGCCCTTCAAGTAGGTACATTAGCATTTTGTATTCAGTAAGAAATAATTATATAATATCGTGTGTACTGCTAACTAATTCAAAATCACTATAAGTATAAATTTTTCATTTAGAAATTCCCTTTAGTATAAGAATATATGACGAGAGTATTTACAAATCTTATAATTTGTGACATTTGATTTGCAAATAGATTCCCAGTTTGAACTAAAATTAGGCTGCTTTATCTATGGAGGATTATCATTGTGAATTATTTTTCTATTTGTTCTACAAATACTCTTTCTTTTTAAATATGTTTTTGATGTTTACACAGAATTCACCTAGATATAAATTAGAAGAGAAAAGAAGTTATGGCTACAAATTTCAAACCAAGTACTCCAAGAATCAGATATTAGGAAACATAGATGGCTAACAATTTGGATGAGGTGGGGAAACAATAAGGAAATGTGCAAAATATTAAAATAATTTGTCTTTTGGAATTATTTTGTTATAGAATTTGTTTTAAAAATAATTTTCTTCACTTATTGTAAATTTGACTTTATTATATTTTAATAAGCTATTCAACACTTATGTATAAATATCACATAAGTAATTGATATTATATACTAGTTTGGGGTTTCCTTTTTTTAAAAAAAATTCAATGTCCTATTAAAAATATGTACATATATTGAATCTGTAAATTACTTTGGGCAGTATCACCATTTTCATGATATTGATTCTCCTATCTATGAGCATGGAATGTTTTTCCTTTTGTTTGTGTCCTCTCTTATTTTGTTGAGCAGAGGTTTGTAGTTCTCCTTGAAGGGGTCCTTCACATCCCTTGTGAGTTGGATTCCTAGGTATTTTATTCTTTTTGTAGCAATTGTGAATGGGAGTTCACTCATAATTTGGCTATTTGTCTATTACTTGTGTGTATTCCAGGAATGCTTGTGGGTTTTGTATATTTATTTTTTATCCTTAGACTTTGCTGAAGTTGCTCATCAGCTTAAGGAGATTTTGGCCTGAGACAATGGGGTTTTCTTATTGGGGTGATCAGACCCAACACCAGGTCATGGGGGTGACAAAGTCTGTCGGAGTCAAAGGATTGAGAAAAAGACAGTTTGAGAATTAAAGTGGGCACCAGGGGGCCATCGTGTCTGTGGAGGCTGCAAAGGCCCTGAGCTCTGGGAGCCCACGTTATTTATTGGTAATCCAACAGAGAAACAGGTGGTGAGAACGTGGAGGTCGAACGGGTGCATTGCATTAAGCACATGATTTACAGCTGTGATGGTTTCACACTTGCTCTGCTACTTGATAATGGAGAGCAGGTTCTTTTAACTCAACATACAATGGATCCTGGGAGAGCAAGAAGCAAGGAGCCACCAAGTCTACACACATTCCAGAGCCACAAGCCCCGGATTCTGTCCAAGCCACAATGGATTTTATGCCCTGGGCTTAGATGATGGTGCATCAGGGTAGCCTTCCACCCCTTAGCACAGAGCTTGGTGTTCCAAAGGCCACAAGGGGTTTCAGACCCTGGGCCCCGGACATGTTCCAAGAGTCTTTTACATTATGTCAGACATGCAAGCCCTGCCTCAGCTTCTCCCAACACTCAGATTTTCCCAACATGCCCCCCTTCTCTTTTTTTGTAAAAGAGAAGGTATCGTTATTACTAGCATAAAAGGTAACCTCTTTTAATTGAGCAAGGCAATTGCAGGCTGTGCAGCCCTTAATTGCCGGTTGGTGATCCAGCTTCATTTTTCTTAGCCCTTATTCAAACTGGAGTCACTCTGGTTTGAGTGCTTTCCACATATCTCCCCTTTCCCTTTTACAAGAGGACCCCTAATCCTAGGGGTTGCAGAAGGATGAAGGTCCGTCTTCTGTAACTTCTTCATGCTGAATAGGGGTGATGATAGTCCTGCCTAACTATTAGGGTCTCTTATATTCAGGGTAGAGAGGAGCTGAGTCAGAAAGCATTGGTCCATTAAGCATCGTGACTCTGGTTGGTCTTTGTTCCATCTTCGCATTCAGATTCAACTGGCTTATGGCTCATACTGGGGGAACCCGGTCCATGGTTGGGATCCATGGGTCCCTCCAGTCTCCTGTTCCGTGGTCATACACATCTTGAGGGCATCCTCACGGTTCATTCATCTCCTGCAAAAATACAAGCATTCCCTCACCCATACATTAGTAAATCTACTGAAACAGAAGCAAAAACTTGTGGCTGTAGCTGGGAGGCTACTGATAATGAGAAACAGGCCCCTTCTAAGAGAAGGCACAAGGAAAGCAAATCGAGGCTTTTCAAACCTTCAATTCGCACTGTACAGGTGGGTCCACTAGATGCTGTGGCTCCTGATAGATCTTCGGATGTTTGGTGGGCACCCACATAGGCAGCTGATTGTCACCTGGAGAGACATACACAAATCCTCTTCCTCATATAATTATCTTTCCTTTTTCCCAGCTCTTTTTATGTGACCACATCTTTTTCTAAGGCCTGTGGCATTAAGATGAGTTTAATAATGGAATGTTTGTGCATCAGCAAAAGCTGCAGACACCAATGCATCCACCCTTTGATTAAGTTTAGTTAAAGGACCCACAGGTTCTGTTGGAGAGAAAAGAAAGAGCATTTTTATCCTTATCTCCCTCCTCTCTATTCCTTTTATATTTGCCCTTTGAGCCATAACTAATTTCTATAATTCAGAATGTTCTTGTCTGTCCCTGCAAATCTCTGTTAGTCTTTGCTTTTGTACCTCTTTAGGGCACTGACCTTATATTGCTAGTCTTCATCTCTCTACTTCTCTCTCTCTACTTACCTCTCTCTACTTACCTCTCTCTCTCTACTTATCTCTCTCTCTACTTACCTCTATCTCTGTTTATACTTAGCTCTACTTACTTGTCTCTACTTACTTACTTGTCTCTACTTTACTTACTTATCTCTACATCTTTCCTGGAAACCTTTTTAATGACCTTGGGTAGAGCTCAGAAATCCACCCTTTAAGCTTCAGCAAGAGACAAAACAGGGACCTCGGACCCGGCACCAGATTGAAGGGAACAGGAAGTGCTCTCCCCTCCCCAAAGCAGGAAAATGAGAGTTTGGCCCTTGCAAATTTCCACTCCACATCAGCGTCATCCTCAATTTCCTGGAATAAACTGTTGATCATGGCAATTTTAGCAAAACAATGACCATTGTAACATTATGGACTCCATAAAGAACATAACCAATGTTTTCAATTAATTTGTGGTTATAGTTGATGACCACTGATTTCACTTCAGAAAGTCCAAAGATAGCCCAGAACAGTGTCTTAAAACTCTGTTGTGAAGGCTTCATTTTGTTTTTCACCAATGTAGTAGGATTAGAGGTTGAATATTCCCATCATAAAAGCCACAAACGCCACAATGAACACATTCAGCCCATATCATGCCTATGTGCTCATTAAATCTGCAGAGGCAGGTTAACCATGAAACCGAAGCTTCAAGATGACTTTACTTGCACTATGCAAAGCAACCCATGATTTATTTTTTCCGGGGACTACTGCCAACCAGGCCTGTGTGTCCATCTGTAAGCATCCAACAGCAGGTCTACTGTACAAATAGGTCTTTTGTACAGACACTTGATTAACCCAATATATAGCCTTTCCTGTTGGATTAGTACTACCAAAGCCTCCTGTTCTTTTCACTGTGCTGCTTCCCAGCTTTATGTCAACAACTGAGCAATTCTTTCTTCTAGGGAAGCAGACCATGGAGTTGAGCAACTAATAACTAATTGAATTTCTCTGGTATAAAAAGAACCAATCATTCCCATATGCACAGTGACACCTCTAGATCTTTCAAGTAATAGACCTACTGTTCCTGAAGGAAATGGTCCCCCAACTCCCCTGGGGACCATCTCGGGTGGCTCCCCCAGAAGCAGGGAAATGGGAACTGCACTGCAAAGGTCCACGGCAGCACTGCTTACCACAGCGGGAGACAATTGTTGCTGTTTGTAAGGGCACTGGCTGTGCCGGATATGCCTCAATTTATTGAGGTGCTGTCTGAATAAACAAGCCTCAGATTCCACTGGGTCTTAGTACTACCAATTGCTCCGGGTTTTAATGTTGCAGCTATAGGAGGGGTAAGTTATGTAGCTAATTCATTTTCTCACCCATTAAGGGGAGAGAGAGGAGGTGGCCATTCACTTAATTCAGCAGGTGGAGCCAACAGGCTAGTAAAACACACTATTTTTAGTTTCCCTTTCTTTTCTTTAACTTCCTCCAGTTTCTATTCCTCACATTCAGAATCTGAAGTTAGTTTTTTACACTCGTCCACCTCTTCCTCATCTGAATCTGTCTCATCATCTGTTTGAAATGGCTCAAGAGCTGCTTTTATTAGCTCCCACATTGACCAAACTGAGACTGGAATTTTTGCTCCATCTTTATACGCTTTTTAAAAATCTCTGCCAATTCTCTCCCATTCATCCAACTCCATAGTCTCTTGTTCTGGGAACCATGGGCAAAACTGCTTTACTGCGCTAAAGAGTGATAACAAATTCTGAGTACCAACTTTCACTCCCCATCTTTGTAATAAATGCCTTAAGAAATTTAAACAAGCAGAATGTCTGCTTTCACTTTGTCCCATTGTTACCCTGGTTCTTCTGAGCGCTCAGCTTTCCCGCCGAGCTTCTTTTAGACATTCGGGTGTCCTTTGACGATGCATCCTTCACTTTCACGTGCTCTTGCATTCCTTCACCGAGGTCTTTGTCGCCCCACATTGAGCAGCCAGGAATGTTGGTGTGATCAGACCCAACACCAGGTCGTGTGGGTGACAAAGTCCGGTGGAGTCAAAGGATTGAGAAAAAGACAGTTTGAGAGAGAAATGTGGGCATCAGGGGGCCATTGCGATTGTGGAGGCTGTGAAGGCCCTGAGCTCTGGGAGTCCACGTTATTTATTGGTAATTCAACAAAGAAACATATGGTGAGAATGTGGAGGTCCAATGGGTGCATTGTATTAAGCACATGATTTACAGCTGTGATGGTTTAGCATTTGCTCTGCTACTTGAGATAATGGAGAGCAGGTTCTTTTAACTCAAGACACAATGGATCCTGGGAGAGCAAGGAGCAAGGAGCCAGCAAGTCTAGACACATTCCAGAGCCACAAATCCTGGATTCTATCCAAGCCATGAGGGATTTTATGCCCTGGGCTTAGACTATGGTGCATCAGGGTAGCCTTCCACCCTTTAGCACAGAGCTTGGTGTTCCAAAGGCCACAAGGGGTTTTAGACCTTGGACCTCGAACATGTTCCAAGACTCTTTTACACTATGTCAGACATGCAAGCCCTGCCTCAGCTTCTCCCAACACTCAGCTTTCCCCAACATTTTCTAAATATACAATCATGTTATCTACAAAGAGAGACAATTTGACTTCCTCTCTTCCTATGTGAATACTCTGTATTTCTTTCTCTTGCCTGATTTCCCTGGACAGAACTTCCAATACTATGTTGAATAGGATTGGTGAGAGATGGCATTCTTGTGTTGTGCCAGTTTTCAAAGGGAATGCTTCCAGCTTTTGCCCATTCAGTATGATATTGGCTGTGGGTTTGTCATAAATAGCTCTCATCAATACCGAGTTTATTGAGAGTTTTCAGCATAAAGCGGTGTTGAATTTTATCAAAGGCCTTTACTGCATCTATTGAAATAATCATGTGGTTTTTGTCATTTGTTCTGTTTATGTGATGGATTAAGTTTATTGATTTGCATATGTTGAACCAGCCTTGCAACCCATGGATGAAGCCGACTTGATCGTGGTGAATAAGCTTTTTAATGTGCTGCTGGATTCAGTTTGCCAGTATTTTATTGAGGATTTTTGCCTCGATGTTCATCAGTGATATTGGCCTGAAATTTTCTTGTTTTGTTGTGTCTCTGCCAGGTTTTGGTATCAGGATGCTGCTGATGCTGGCCTCATAAAATGAGTTAGGGAGGAATCCCTCTTATTCTATTGTTTGGAATAGTTTCAGGAGGAATGGTACCAGCTTCTCTTTGTAACTCTGGTAGAATTCGGCTGTGAATCTGTCTGGTCCTGGGCTTTTTTTTTTTGGTTGGTAAGCTATGAATTACTGCCCCTATTTCAGAACTTGTTATTGGTCTATTCAGGGGTTCGACTTCTTCCTGGTTTAGGCTTGGGAAGGTGTATGTGTCCAAGAATTTATCCATTTCTTCTATATTTTCTAGTTTATTTGTGTTGAAGTGTTTATAGTATTCTCTGATGGTAGTTTGTATTTTTGTGGGATTAGTTGTGATATCCCCTTTATAATCTTTTATTCTGTCTATGTCATTCTTCTCTCTTTTCTTCTTTATTAGTCTGGCTAGCGGTTTGTCTATTTTGTTCACCTTTTCACAAAACCAGATCCTGGATTCATTGATTTTTTTTGAAGGGTTTTTCGTGTCTTTATCTGTTTAGTTCTGCTCTGTTCTTAGTTATTTCTTGTGTTCTGCTAGCTTTTGAATGTGTTTGCTCTTGCTTCTCTAGTTCTTTTAATTGTGATGTTAAAATGTTGATTTTAGATATTTTCTGCTTTCTCCTGTGGGCATTTAGTGCTATACATTTCCCTCTAAACACTGCTTTAGTTGTGTTCCAGAGATTCTCGTACATTGTGTCTTTGTTCTCATTGGTTTCAAAGAACTTATTTATTTCTGCCTTAATTTCGTTATTTACTCAGTAGTCATTCAGGAGCAGGTTGTTCAGTTTCCATGTGGTTGTGCAGTTTTGAGTGAGTTTCTTAATCCTGAGTTCTAATTTGATTGCACTGTGGTCTGAGAGATTGTTATGATTTCCATTCTTTTACATTTGCTGAGGAGTGTTTTACCTCCAATTATGTGGTCAGTTTTAGAAAAAGTGCAATATGGTGCTGAGACAAATGTATATTCTATTGATTTGGGGTGGAGAGTTCTGTAGATGTCTATTAGATCCGCTTGGCTCAGAGCTGAGTTCAAGTCCTGAATATCCTTATTAATTTTCTGTCTTGTTGATCTGTCGAATATGGACAGTGGGGTGTTAAAATCTCCCACTATTATTGTATGGAAGTCTAAATCTCTTTGTAGGTCTCTAAGAACTTGCTTTATGAATCTGGGTGCTCCTGTATTGGGTGCATATATATTTATGATAGTTAGCTCTTCCTGTTGCATTGATCCTTTTACCATTATGTAATGCCCTTCTTTGTCTTTTTTAACCTTTGTTGGATTAATGTCTTTTATCAGAGACTAGTATTGCAACCCCTGTCATTCTTTGCTTTCCATTTGCTTGGTAAATATATCTCCATCCCTTTATTTTGAGCCTATGTGCACCTTTGCACATGAGATGGAGCTCCTGAATACAGCACACTGATGGGTTTTGACTCTATCCAGTTTGCCAGTCTGTGTCTTTTAACTGGGGCATTTAGCCTATTTATATTTAAGGTTAATATTGCTATGAGTGAATTTGATCCTGTCATTATGATGCTAGCTGTTTATTTTGCATGTTAGTTGATGCAGTTTCTTCATAATGTCGATGATC
Organism: Homo sapiens; assembly: GCF_000001405.40. NCBI lineage: Eukaryota > Metazoa > Chordata > Mammalia > Primates > Hominidae > Homo > Homo sapiens. Next base: position 24,753,891 of record NC_000005.10, read on the forward strand.
TTTACAATTTGGTATGTTTTTGCAGTGGCTGGTATTGGTTTTTCCTTTCCATATTTAGTGCTTCCTTCAGGAGCCCTTGTAAGGCAGGACTAGTGGTGACAAAATCTCTCAGCATTTGCTTGTCTGTAAAGGATTTTATTTGTCTTTCACTTATGAAGCTTAGTTTGGCTGCATATGAAATTCTGGGTTGAAAATTCTTTCCTTTAAGAATGTTGAATATTGGCCCCCACTCTCTTCTGGCTTGTAGGGTTTCTGAAGAGAGATCCACTGTTAGTCTGGTGGTCTTCCCTTTGTGGGTAACTTGGCCTTTCTCTCTGGCTGCCCTTAACATTTTTTCCTTCATTTCAACCTTGGTGAATTTGATGATTATGTGTCTTGGGGTTGCTCTTCTTGAGGAGTATCTTTGCGGTGTTCTCTGTATTTCCTGAATTTGAATGTTGACCTGTCTTGCTAGGTTGGGGAAGTTCTCCTGGATAATATCCTGAGGAGTGTTTTCCAGCTTGGTTCCATTCTCCCTGTCACTTTCAGGTACACAAATAAAATGTAGGTTTGATCTTTTCATACAGTTCGATATTCTTGGAGGATTTGTTTGTTCCTTTTCATTCTTTTTTCTCTAGTCTTGTCTTCACACTTTCCTTTATTAAGTTGATCTTCAATCTCTGGTATCCTTTCTTCCACTTGATATATTCAGCTACTGATACTTGTGTATCCTTTATGAAGTTCTCGTGAATTAGAAAAAACTACTTTAAATTTAATATGAAACCAAAAAGAGCTTGTATAGCCAAGACAATCCTAAGCAAAAAGAACAAAGCTGAAGGCATCATGCTACCTGACTTCAAATTCTACTACAAGGCTACAGTAACCAAAACAGCATGGTACTGGTACCAAAACATATGTATATATAGACCAATGGAAGAGAACAGAGGCCTCAGCAATAATGCCACACATCTAAACCATCTGATCTTTGTCAAATTTGACAAAAACCAGCAATGGGGAAAGGATTTCCTATTTAATAAATGGTGTTAGGAAAACTAGCTAGCCATATGCAGAAAACTGAAACTGGACCCCTTCCTTATACCTTATACAAAAATTAACTCAAGATGGATTAAAGACTTAAATGTAAGACCTAAAACCATAAAAACCCTAGAAGAAAACCTAGGCAATACCATTCAGGACATAGGCATGAGCAAAGACTTCATGACTAAAACACCAAAAGCAAGGTCAAGAAAAGCCAAAATTGACAAATGGGATCTAATTAAACTAAAGAGCTTCTGCACAGCAAAAGAAACTATTATCAGAGTGAACAGGCAACTACAGAAAAGGAGAAAATTTTTGCAATCTATCCATCTGACCAAGGGCTAATACCCAGAATCTACAAGGAACTTAAACAAATTTACAAGAAACAAACAACCCCATCAAAAAGTGGGCAAAGGATATGAACAGACACTTCTCAAAAGAAGACATTTATGTGGTCAACAAAGATGTGAAGAAACCTCATCATCACTGGTCATTAGAGAAATGCAAATCAAAACCACAATGAGATACCATCTCACATCAGGATGGTGATCATTAAAATGTAAGGAAACAACAGATGCTAGAGAGGATGTGGAGAAATAGGAATGCTTTTACTCTGTTTGTGGGAGTGTAAGTTAGTTCAACCATTGTGGAAGACAGTGTGACAATTCCTCAAGGATCTAGAACTAGAAATACCATTTGACCCAGCAATCCCATTACTGGATATATACCCAAAGGATTATAAATCATGCTATTATAAAGACACCTGCACACCTATGTTTATTGCCGCTGTATTCACAATGGCAAAGACTTTGAACTAACCCAAATTCCCATCAATGATAGACTGGATAAAGAAAATGTGGCACATATACACCATGGAACACTATGCAGCCATAAAAAAGCCATGTCCCTCTGCAGGGACAGAGATGAAGGTGGAAAGCATCATTCTCAGCAGCAAACTTACGCAGGAACAGAAAACCAAACACTGCATGTTCCCACTTATAAATGGGAGTTGAACAATAGGAACACATGGACACAGGGAGGGGAACATCATACACTGGGTCCTGTCTGGGGAGCAGGGTCATTGGGGAGGGATAGCATTAGGAGAAATACCTAATGTAGATGATGGGTTGATGGGTGCAGCAAACCACTTTGGCACATGTATACTTATGTTACAAACCTTCAGGTTTTGCACATGTATCACAGAACTTAAAGTATATTTAAAAATTAAATAAATAAAAAATATTTATATGGCATGCATATACAGATTTCTTACATGCATATATTTTGTAGTAGTGAAGTTTAGACTTTTAGTGTATTCATTACCTGAATAGTGAACATTGTACCCAATAGGTAAATTTTTTACCCCTCACTCCTTTCCTATCTCCCACGTTTTGAAGTCTCCTATGTGTAGTATTCTACTCTTTATGTTCATGTCTATCCATTGTTTAGCTCCCACTTATAAATGAGAATATTCTGTATTTGATTTTTCTGTTTCTGAGTTATTTCAGTTAAAATAATAGCCTCCAGTTGCAAAATACATGACTTCATTGTTTTGGATATATATACGTACACATCATGGAATACTACTGTGGAATTTATGTGTGCATGTGTGTACTTTCATACCTAGATATAAATGTATACACAAACATACCCTGGAATATGTATGTATGTGTGTGTGTATTTGTGTGCCTCCAATGATGGACACTTAACATTTATTCCATATCTTTGCTATTGTAAATAGTGCTGCAATAAACATATGAGTGCAGATATGTTTTTGATACAGTGATTTCTTCGTTTTTGGGTAGATAACCAGTATTCAGGTTGTTAGATCAAATGGTAGTTCTATTTTTAATTCCTGGAGAAATCTCCATACTATTTTCCATAAAGGTTATACTAAGTGTATAAGCAGTCCCATCAACATCTTTTTTTTTCTTTTTTTTCAACTTTTTAGTAGTAGCCATTCTGCCTGCTATAAAATCGTATCTCATTTTGGTTTTAATTTGATGATTAGTGATGCTGAGCACTTTTTCATGTTTGTTGGCCACTTGTGTGTCTTCTTTTGAAAAATGTCTGCTCATATCCTTTGTCCCCTTTTTTATTAGGGTTATTTGCTTTATCCTCATTATGCTGTTTGGGTTCCTTATAGATTCTAGATATTTGCCTTTTGTCAATGGCATAGTTTTCAAATATTGTTTCCCATTCTACATGTTGTCTGTTTACTCTGTTGATTATTTCTTTTGCTGTGCAGAAGCTTTTTAGTTGAATTACATCCCATTTGTCTATTTTTGTTTTTGTTGCACTTGCTTTTGAGGACTTTGTCATAAATTATTTGCCTAAGCCAATGACCGGAAAAGTTTTTCTTAGATTTTCTTCTGGAATTTGTATAACTACAGGTCTTATATTTAGATCTTTAATCCACATTCAGTTAATTTTTGTATATGTTAAGAGGTATGGTGCTAGTTTAATTCTTCTTCATAGGGCAGCCCAATTTGTCAAGCACTTTTTACTGAAATAGGTGTTTTTTCTCTAGTGTATATTTTTGTTGACTTTGTCAAAGATCCGATGGTTTTAGGTATGTGACTTTATTTCTCGGAACTCTATTCTGTTCCATTGATCTATGTGTCTATTTTTATACGAGTACCATGCTTCTTTGGTTACTGTTTGTAGTCTAGTAGTATAAGTTGAAGTCAGGTAATGTGATGCCTCCAGCTTTGTTCCTTTTGCTTAGAATTGTTTTGGCTATACAGGCTCTTTTTTTATTCCATATGAATTTTAAGATGTTTTTATAATTCTCTAAAAAAATGACATCAGTAATTTCATAGAGATTATGTTGAATCTATAGATTGCTTTGGGCAGTGTGATGGTTAATACTGAGTGTCAACTTGATTGGATTGAAGGTTACAAAGTATTGATCCTGGGTGTCCCTGTGAGGGTATTCCCAAAGAAGATTAACATCTGAGTTAGTGGGCTGGGAATGGCAGACCCACCCTTAATTTGCGTGGGCACAATCTAATCAGCAGCCAATACAGCTAGACTATAAGCAGGCAGAGAAATGTGAAAAGAGAGACTAGCCTAGCCTCCCAGCCTACATCTTTCTCCTGTGCTGGATGCTTCCTGACTTTGAACATTGGACTCCAAGTTGTTCAGTTTTTGAACTAGGACTGGATCTCCTTGCTTCTCAGCCTGCAGATGGCATATTGTGGGACATTGTGATCATGTGAGTTAATACTTAATAATAATAACTCATGTGATTATAATTAATAACTTGTAATAATAATTAACTCGTGTGAGTTAATACTTAATAAACTCATATATATATATATATATATTTTATATATATATATATATATATATAATATATATATATATATATATATATATATATATATATATATATATATATTCCTTTAGTTCTGTCCCTCTAGAGAATCTTGACTAATACAGGTAGTATTATCATTCTAATGATATTGATTCTTCCTTTTTTTTTTTTTTAAATGAGATGGAGTATCTCTCTTGCTCAGGCTGGAGTCGTCCTATCCATAAGCATAGGATGTTTTTCCATTTGTTTGTGTTATCTATGATTTCTGTAGTTCTCCTTATATAAATCTTTCACCTCACTGGTTAAATATGTTCCTAAACAGTTTTGTGGCTATTGTAAATTGAATTGCCTTGTTGATTTGATCCTCGGCTAGATCATTATTGGTCTATAGAAATGCTACTGATTTCTGTCTATTAATATTGTATCCTGAAACTTTGCTGAATTAATTTATCAGCTTTAAGAGTTTTTTGGTGGAGTCATTAGGGTTTTCTAAATATAAGATCATCTCATCAGTGAACAGTGATAATTTAACTTCCTTTTTCAATTTGGGTGACTTTTTTTCTATTTCTGATTGCTCTAGTGAGGACTTCTAGCACTATATTGAATAAGAGTAGTGAAGGTGGGCATTGTTGTCTTGTTCCAGTTCTTAGATAGGATGTTTTCAACTTTTTCTTATTGAGTATGATGTTGGTTATGGGTTTGTTATATATTGTTTTTATTATATTAAGGTTTGTTCCACCTATGCCTAGTTTATTGATGAGTTTTATCATAGATGTATGCTAAATTTTATCCAATGCCTTTTTTGTATCTACTGAGATGATCATATGGATTTTGTCTTTAATTATCTTTATGTGATGTATTACATTTATTTATTTACATATCTTGAGTCATCTTTGCAACCCTGGGATAAATCCTACCTGTTCATAACGGATATTGGCCTATAGTTTTTCTTTCTTTCTTTTTTTTTTTGTCCTCATTTGGTTTTAGTTAGTTGCAGGGTTATACTAGCTTCATAGAGTGAATTAGGGAAAATTTTTTCCTCTTTGATTAGTTGGAATATTTTTAAGAGTATTGATATCAGTTTTTCATCTTATGTTTGTTAGAATCAACTGTGAATCCATCTGGCACTGGGCTTTTGGTTGTTCTTTTTGGCAGTTTTTTTTTTATTACGGATTCAATCTTGCTACTCATTGTCAATCTGTTCAGAAGTTTTATTTCTTGTAGATTCAATCTCAGGAGGTTGTATTTTTTTCTGGAAATTTACTTATATCCTCTCGGTTTCTAATATTTGAGCATAAGTTATTTATAATAGTCTCTGATGATCTTTTGTGTTTCTGTGGTATCAGTTGTAATGTCTCATTTTTTATTTCTGAATGTGTTTATTTAAATTTTCCCTTCTTTTTTGGTTACTCTAGTTTGTGATTATCATTTTTGTAAATCACTTTGAAGAATAAACTTTTTGTTTTGTTGATTATTTTTATTGTTCTTTGTCTCTACTGAATTTAGTTCTTTCCTGATCATTAATTTTTTTCTTCTGTTCACTTTGGGTTTAGTTTGTTCTCTTTTTTTCTAGTTTCCTAAGGTATAATGTTAATTGTTAATTTGTGATCTTTCTACTTTTTTCGATGTAGGCATTTAATGCTATAAACTTTTCTCTTAGCATTGCTTTTGCTATATTACACAGGTTTTGGTATGCTGTGATTTCATTTTTATTTGTTTCAGAATTTTAAATTCCTGTCTTAATTTCTTCATTGCCAAGTGATTGTTCAGGAGCATACTTTTGAATTTCCATTTATTTGTGTAGTTCCTGAAGTTCTTCTTGGTGTTAGTTTCTAGTTTTATTCAATTCTGGTCTGAGAAGATACTTGATATAATTTTGATTAAAAAAAAAGTTTAAGACTCTTTTTGTGGCCTAAAACATGGTCTATCTTAAAGAATATTCCATGTTCTAATAAAAGGAATGTATATTCTGCATTTGGTAGAATGTTCTGAAATGTCTTTTAAGTCCATTTGGTTTAACGTCTGATTAAGTTAGTTAATTTTCTGTCGCAATGATTTGTCAGGTGCTGTGAGTGGGGTCTTGAAGTCATCCACTATTACTGTATTGCGGTCTGTCTTTTTCTTTAGGTCTGGTAATATTTGTTTTTGAATTTGAGTGCAGCGATATTGGGCTTATATATATATAGGATTGTTTTATCCTCTTCCTGAATTTATTCCATTGTCATTTTATAATGATCTTGTCTTTTATTACTTTTTTTATTTAAAGGATACTTTTATTTAATGTAAGTATAGCTACACCTGCTTACCTTTGGTTTCAGTTTCCACGGAATATCTTTTCCTATCCCTTTACTTTCAGTCTATATCTGTCTTTATAAGTAAGGTTAGTTTCTTGGAGGTAGCATACAGTCAGATCATATGTTTTAATCATTTCTGCCAATCTGTTCCATTTAAGTGCATCATTTAATCCATTTACATTCAAATGTAATATAATATATGAGCCTTTGTTTCTGTTGCATTGTTAATTGTTTCAAGTTGTTTCATAAATTCTGTTTCTTTCTTATTCTGTCTTTTTATCTTTGTATTTTGATGAGATTCTGTTGTGTTGCCATTTGATTTCTTTCTCTTCCTTCTTTGTGTTATTGTTTTATAAGAACAGTGGATTTTATATTTCCAAGTGTTTTTGTGAATACCGGCCTTTTATTTCAATGTGTAAGTACTCTTTGAACAGTTCCTGTAGGACCAGTCTAGTGGTGACAAATTCCTTTGTTGTTCACCTGTCTGGGAAATACTTTATTTCTCCTTTATTTATGAAGCTTATACTAGCAGGATTTGAAATTCTTGACTGGCAGGTCTTTTGTTGTTGTTGTTGCTCTCTTAGAATTGTAAAAATGCCATCTCACTGTCTTTTACTCATCTCATTCATTTCTCCTAAAATGTGTACTATTTGTTAGAGGGGCTTTCTGTCATAGGCAACTAGATGCTTTTCTCTTGGTCATTTTATTATTTTTTTCTTTTTTTTTATTTTTGACGGAGTCTCGCTCTGTCATCCAGGCTGGAGTGAAGTGGCATGATCTTGGCTTACTGCAAGCTCTGCCTCCTGGGTTCACGCCATTCTCCTGCCTCAGCCTCCCGAGTTGCTGGGACTACAGGCACCCACCACACATCTGGCTAATTGTTTGTATTTTTAGTAGAGACAGGGTTTCACCGTGTTAGCCAGGATGGGCTCAAGCTCCTGACTTAGTGATCTGCCTTGCTCGGCCTCCCAAAGTGCTGGGATTACAGGTGTGAGCCACCACGCCTGGCCTAGACATTCTTAATATAATATGCTGGATGAAGTTCATTTTGCAATGCATTTACCTGGGAAACACTGGACCTCCTGTATCTAGATGTGTGACTCTCTTGCTAGATTGGAAAGTTTTCAACAATTAATTCCTTAAGTAGGCTTTTTAAACATTTTTATCTCTGTTACCCCTCAGGAACACCAATAATTCACAAGTTTTGCCACTTTACGTAGTCCCAGATGTCTGAAATTCTTTGTTCATTCCTTTTCCCTTATTTTTGTCTGACTGGATTATTTCAAAAGACCTGTCTTCAAGTTCTGAGATTCTTTCTTCTGCTTGGTCTAGTCTGTTATTGAAACTTTCAAAAGTATTTTGCATTTCCTTCAAGGATTTTTTTACTTCTAGAATTTATGCTTGGTTCTTATTTTAAGATATCTGTCTTCTTGGTAAATTTCTTAGCACAACCTGAATTGATATTTTTATTTCTTTGCATAAGTTTTCAGATTTCCCTTGCATCTCACTGAACTTCTTTAAAAATCAATATTTTCAATTTATTATCTGGCATTTTTAGAAATTTTATTTGATTTGGATTTCTAGCTGCACAATTGTGGTCCTTTGTTATTTTTTTTTTTTTTTGCTTGTTCATGATTTGTGTGTCTTTACATTGAAATATATGCACCTGGTGTAGCAGTCACTTGTTTTGATTTTTTGAAATTGCCTTTGTAGGGGAGAATTTCTTCCTCAAGATATATGTATGCTGTTGATTGAGTAGGGTACTTTGGCTTTGATTTTGGGTGCCTGCAGGAGTGTGATCTTAGTAGGACTTTTTCAGCAATACACAGGGTCAGTAGCATCTGTGATTTCCTTGATGGCTTGATTAGTAATTAGTTGAGGTGTGGTGAAGTTTTTGGGGGACTTGAATAACAACTGAGCCAGTCTTCATGCTCCAGTGGTGGTAGCAGTGGGGCAAACATGTTTTTAGGGTCCGGAGCAGCTTACACTGGCTCTGGTATTCGTGGGTCCTAGAGGGCTGATTCTTGGACCTTCAGGTGGCTGCTTAGAAGCTAGTAGTGAAAGCAGTGGGCCAGATTTGTGGGCAGCATGGGTTGTGTGGGTGATTGCAATAACAGTGGTGGAGCAACCCACTGGGACCCAAGCCATCCCAGATAGAGGTCCAGGTAGCTTCAATGGATTGGACAGACTGCTCCAAGGTTTCACAGCCACCTATAGAAGCATGATGGGTATTGTCCAAAATGTGCTTAGGGGAGCTTGATTTCCCTTATTCCTCTCCCAGCTGGATGGTGGCTGCAGCTATATCATCTTGAACTTGGTTTGAGAGTGGGGCACAGCCCAGTGTTAAACTATCAAAGTGATGCCAGCTGTGGGCCTGTGACAAGAGAAATCAGCATGGGCTGCTTATGCATGCCCCTTAGGCAAACAGCATGGGCAGAAGCTGTAAGGAGTGTGATCCACTCAATTTTCAGTCTCACAGAAGCCCATAGCAGGGCAGTGGGTATTGTCCAAGGTATGTATAGAAGAGCTTGGTTTCCTTGTCCCAAATCAGCCAGATGGTGGCTGCAGCCATGTCAACTAAAACTCAGCCCAAGGGTAGGGCCCAGCCCAGCATTAAACTCCCCAAGTGGTGCCTTGGGCCTATGACCAGAGAGGGTGGAGTCCCTCCATGGCAAGGAACATGGGCAAGAAGCTATGGGGAGTGTGGTCCCCTCAAGCTTCAGTCTCAGAGCAACCCATTGCAAGGCAATGGGTATTGTCCTAAAAATACATAGGAGAGTCTGGTTCCCTGTCCCTTTTTGGCAGGGCAACAGTTGCTGCTGTGTTAAACTGAACTCAGCCTGAGGATGGGGCACAGCTCAACATGAAATTCTTAAAATGACAACTTGGGCCTGGGACCAGAGAAGACAGGGCCCCTCTTAGGGAAGACTTGTGGGAAAGAAGCTGGGTAGAGTGTGATCCCCTTGTCTCCATCTCACAAAAGCCCATAGCAGAACAGTAGTTACTGTCTTAGTGAGTGTAGAGAACTTGGTTTCCTTGTTCCCCCTCACAGGGATGGCGGCTGCAGCCATGTCAACTCAAATTCAGCCTGTGGGGCACAACCCAACATTAAACTCCCAAAAGTGGCACCTTGGGCCTATGACCAGGGATGGTGGGTTCCCTCCAAGGCAAGTGGCATGAGCAAGATGCTGCAGGGAGTATGGTCCACTCATGTCTCAGTCTCAACAACAGCTCACAGCAAGACAGTCAGGACTCTCCCAGGGGTGCATGGGAGCACCTTGTCATTCCTTTTCCTCCTTGGAACAGTGCAGTGGCAGTGGCTATGTTTGTAGATCCTCAGTATCTAGGCTTTCAAAATGGTGTTGAATTGCTCTAGGCTCAGATGCCTGTTAGATTTTGTGTGGGTTCCCTTTCTGGAGCAACCTCTCTGCAATTTTTAGGCAGCTTCAAGACCCTAGTTGATCAAGGGTTTCTCTTGTAGTTAAGATCATAAAAACCAAGCTCAGGGGTTTCTTTCTGTTTCCTCATGTGGAGCCTTTCCTGGCTCTCAATCAGTTCCTCGCTGGGCAAGCTGCCTCAAACCCTCTCCTCTCCTCTTTTTTTTTCTTTTTTTTTTTTGTCTTTTAAATGGGGTTCATTGTGATGGTATATAAAGACGCAAAACTAGAAATGCTTCTGAAGGCAAGGTTTGTTGTTGGAGAAGAGCTGAGGCACCAGTGCTCATTCCTGAGTACTCTGATCTTTAGGAATAAGACAGCAATCATTTCCTCCTTGATGACTTTCTTTGCTTCAGACAGATAAAATGTGGTGCCTTAATCATACCTTTAGGAAAGACATCCCATGGACATTCTTATAGCTTTCTTAATAGAGAAAGATTGAAAACTGAAAAAGATCAAGGAACAAAGTCAGAGAAGTAAGATTACATCAGGTTAAGTACATGGTAATGGGGTAAGTCCATCCTTCAACACTCACACTGGAAACATGAGGCTACTACTTGAGAGCTGCCTGCAGTAATAAAAATTCACACATACTGAGGACTACATGACAGCTACTGTTTTAAATGGTCTATTTATGCCAAAACTCTTTAGTCCTTATAAAAATGCCTTGAAGTGGGAATTATTGTTATTTTTGCATTATGGATGAGGAAATTGCAGTGCAGAGAGATTCAGTAATTCCTCAATACCACAGAGCTATGTAAGTTTTGGGAATAAGAAATAAACCCACGTAGGAAGAGACCAACCCAGGCCATGAAGAATCTACTCAGATGGTCTGGCATCTTTGATTTTTTTTTACTCCATTTTTTTTTTTTAGTATGGGTTGGATTGTGTTCCTTAAAAAAGATATGTTGAAGTCCTAACCTCCAGGACCTCAAAATGTGATCCTGTTTGGAAATAGGGTTGTTGCAGATATAATTAACAAAGTTAAGATGGAATCATGCTAGAGTACAGTAGGCTCTTAATCTAATATGACCAGTGTCCTTATAAAAAAGAGGAAAGAGAGACCAAGGAGACTATCATATGAGGACACAAAGACTCACAGGGAAAAGATTGCCACGTGACAACAATGGGTGCAGAGATCTGAGTCATGCATCTACAAGCTAAGGAAAGCCAATGAGGTCTGAAAACCATCAGAAGCTAGGATAGAAGGATGGCACGGCCACTTCCCAGAGTCCTCTAGAAGGGACTAAACTCTACTAGCAGCTTGATTTTGGACATATAGCATCAAGAATAAATTTGCTTTAAGCCCCCGGTTTGCAGTGTATGTTACAGCAGCCTGAGGACACAAGTGCTCTTTTTAAATATTCTCTTTTTCAGAATTTTGTTGTACTTGACATCCTGTTCTTATTTTAAATTATATCTTAATCCTTACCTTCATTCAATATAAATAGCTGACTGTGCACTATACTCAAGGGAAACTATTGGAAAATTGAAACCAATAGCATAAGGTTGTAAAAGACAGAGTATTGCTAGGAAATAGCAAGTATATCATCAGGATGTTAATTTTATGAACTATATGTTTGTGTCCCCCCCACACCAACATCCATATGTTAAGCTGGGATATTTAGGAGGTAATGAGGTTTAGAGGAGGTCATGACAGTTCAGGCCCTACAATGAGAAGAGAGAAAGACTAGAGCTTGCTCTGTCTGCTGTATGAGAATACGGGGAGAAGATGACCTGCGAATCAGAAAGAATGCCCTCACCAGACATTGATCTGCCAGTACTTCGATATTAGACTTCCTAACCTTCAGAACTATGAGAAATGAACATTTGTTGTTTAAATCACCCTGTCCAAGTTATTCTGATATAGCAGCCTGAACTGTGAGGGTGAGAAGACAGACATGCACGCTACTGGTATTTGAAGTAGGTTGGTATTGAGTAATAGAATAGAAAATTTGGGCTTTGTTTTGCCTTGCAGTGTCATTGAAAGTTTTTGGCTAAAGGTGTAATGTGGCAAGAAGTGTGTTTTAGGAAGATCAATGTAACTGCAAAGACTTAACATCTTATGGAGTAGAAATAACCAGAAGCAGCATGAATTGTTTGAAGACTATAGTCTAGGAAAGACATCTGAAGACTTCTTCTAATATTTGACAAGAAGCTTTGAAAGGGATCCTGGGCTAGGGGAGGGGGGAGGGAAATTAGAGGATATAATTCATAATTACATGTTATAAAAACATAAAAAGAGACAATTTCATGTTTCAAATGTGGGTGACCGGAACTGTAGTTGTGACATTACAGAGACTGTTGGTGATGAGAGGTGCATTTTATTTTATTTTGTAATTAATTTTGGCCTTATTAAGTGTTCATTACTGGTGATACAGCTAGATAAAGCTACCTTAAAGGTGGCTAGAAAGGCATAGCATAGTTTTGAAAAGAAACAGAAATAAGAACAGCTAATATCAATAGACATACTGTGCAGCGTTGGCCAGGTAATGCTAACAGACACTTTTTTATTAATCCTTGAATAATTTTCTGATCTGCATCTGCTATCATACACATTTAACAGATGAGAATAAATGAGGCAGAAGAGGCTAAAACAATTTATGAATGCTGCACTATTCGTAGGTGGGAAGCACAGATTGGAACCCAGCTTTCCACACTTCAGACTTTAGAGTCATTCACATTTAAAAAATGAGGCAGGGTTAAATGAGATATTTAGATGAAATTCACAGAAGTTAAATTAGAGAGTCAGAAGGTCCAGAATCATAGTGTTCAGAATATATGAAGTGATATATTCCAAAGGGATTACTTTCCAGCTCTTAAAAGAGAATAAAATCTTCCTTACTTAGCCCTGGGTGTTTTTCTTTTTAAACTAGGGATTATTATAGTTGAAATGACCCTCAAATGGCTCTAGGTTCATTTTATGATCACTGGCTTCATATATATGTATCTTGAACTATTATTTATATTAAGCCACTGCATAACAAATATGTTTACATAATATTTAAATTTTTTTATATTACAGGACTAGTTATAAAAACTGAACTTCTCTGTAACTCTATCCTAAATTTAATAAATGTACATATAAGGCACAAGTCATTTAAAAGTGGATTATTTTTTTCCAGGGCGGTTTATGTAACAGTTTCAGTAAAAAATAAATGAAACAGTAACAGTATTGTGCCCAAAGGGACATACTGTTACATGCATGTTACATTTCCCCAGAGATTTGGGCTGGATAGATTACCTTTTCTATTTTCCCCCTTTAACCAGCTTTGACATGAGTGTGGTAGACTCTTACATTTCTATATTTAGCCTAAAGCTGAGTGAATTTCACTGAAGTGTGAAGTAATTTTAAATATGTTTTGTATAAAAATGTGCTGAATTTTAAAGCTCTTTGATATCATGGGGAATGAAAATTGCTCAAAACACAAATCAGTATGGTTAAATGTACTGACCATGTGTGCTTTTTGAAATATGAAATTATGCTATTATTCTTGGCCCATGTTGGAAGCAACATTCTTTTTTATTATACTCACTGCTAAATAATTTGTATAAAAAAAGGAATGCACATAGTAATGTATAATAGTTTTAAAAATTTTCACCACTATAACATTAATACGTTATACAGAAATGTAACCATATAATTGTTAAATAAATGCTTTTTGAGTTTCCAGGTTTTGCAGAAAGTTCTGGTGTTCTTTAGGGTTTACTCACAGTAAACTGACCTGATTGCTCTGCAAGCCTTAGTTTACCATAAGTATTTCTAACCAAGCCTATTCCTGTAAGAAATATATGATCATAATGTACTTTAGAATATTATTTGGTCATGATTATAACAGAAACATAAATTATATAGAGAAGAAAAAAATGTTACTGCTACAACTCCATAGCTATGGTAGTTATTTACCTTACTTTTTAGCTATTCACTGCGCCAAAGAAATTAACCAGGCAGAGACCATCCTGCCTAACACGGTGAAACCCCGTCTCTACCAAAAAATACACAAAATTAGCCGGGCGTGATGGCGGGCGCCTGTAGTCCCAGGTACTCTGGAGGCTGAGGCAGGAGAATGGCGTGAACCCGGGAGGTGGAGCTTGCAGTGAGCCGAGATCGCGCCACTCCACTCCAGCCTGGGTAACAGAGTGAGACTCTGTCTCAAAAAAAAAAAAAAAAAAAGGAATTAACCAGGCAATACAAGTAAGACACATCCAAAGAAATTAACCAGGCAATACAATTAAGACATGTATGTTAGATAATGGAAATTATATCTTGAACAATAAAGATTTAATGAATAGAAATAATCTACTTCACTTGTGATTTGATTCTTCAGTAACAACCAATACACTGCAGGACAATATGGTAAAATCTTATTAAATATGTTCCTCTTGACAGTATTCAATATGTTCCTATTGACAGCAGTCATTTAGCCATTTCGTTGTTTTTATATTCCATAGAAATATTTTAATGTAGCATGTCATTTTTTTTTTTTTTTTGAGACTGAGTCTCGCTCTGTCACCCAGACTGGAGTGCAGTGGCGCGATCTCTGCTCACTGCAAGCTCCGCCTCCCAGGTTCACACCATTCTCCTGCCTCAGCCTCCCAAGTAGCTGGGACTACAGGCTCCCGCCACCACGCTCGGCTAATTTTTTGTATATTTAGTAGAGACGGGGTTTCACCGTGTTAGCCAGGATGGTCTCGATCTCCTGACCTCGTAATCCACCCGCCTCTGCCTCCCAAAGTGCTGGGATTACAGGCGTGAGCCACTGCACCCAGCTGCATATCTTCTTTTAATTCACTGTTAAATATATTACTAGACAATATGTTGAGTGAATGAAAGTATGAGTGTGAAGTATTTCTTAAAGCATGCTTTCTATTTGTATTAACTCTAATATGGCCTTTATTTACTTTAAAATACAAAATTACTGAAAGAGTAAAATAATTCAAATAATTATTTGTATAATCTCCATAGTTCTTAAACCATGTCCTCTTTATAGAACTAAACTCTTAGATTGAATATAACTTTCTTGATGTGTATATAAATGTTTGAATTTTACATATGTATCCCTTTTGACTCTTCTGCTTGTGTTTTTGTATCATTTAAAAAGGTGGATATGTGTTATGACCAACGACAGATGAGATTCTTCTTTCTAGTGTGTATGTCATTTCTAAAAATAAGTCATCAAGCTTCAAAAGTAGTGCGCTCAATATTTGCTTTTAAATTGAAGATAGGCCACACCTGTAATTCTAGCACTTTGGGAGGCTGAGGCAGGAGGATTGTTTGAGGCCATGAGTTGGAAATCAATGTGAGAAACATAGAAAGACACTTTCTCTACAAAACAGAAATTATTTAAATAAATAAATTAATTAGTTAATTAATTTAATATTAACAAATACCACTCAATAGTGTGGAAATGAAGCAGTTCCCAGCAGAGACCTCGAACTATGAAATTAAATGTAAAGGAAAGTCACTGGATATTCTATCTAAAATATGGTTTAAAATTAGAAGTGGAATTTCATTTCCATACCTTTATTTTATTAAAAGAGAAAATAAGGAGCAGAATGAAGAATACTGTTTGCATCTTAGAGGTCAAATCTGTAGTCAAACGAAGTTGTTTTGGGTTTTTTTTTTTTTTTTTTTTTTAGATGGAGTTTTGCTCTGTCCCCCAGACTGGAGTGCAGTGGCATGATCTGTGCTCACTGCAACCTCTGCCTGCTGGGTTCCAGCAATTCTCCTGCCTCAGCCTCCCGAGTAGGTAGGACTACAGGCGTGTGCCACCATGCCTGGCTAATTTTTTGTGTTTTTAGTAGAGACAGGATTTCATCATGCTAGCCAGGCTGGTCACGAGCTCCTGACTTTATGATCTGCCCGCCTCAGCCTCCCAAAGTGCTGGGATTACAGGCATGAGCCGCCACACCTGGCCACGAAGTTGCTTTTTAATAAAGTAACATGAGCCTAATAAAATTTTTAAATACTGGACAGTTTCTATATATTTGTCTGAGATAGCTATAGCTTCATATGATATTGTGATGATAAAATAATGTGCTTTAATAATGTGAAACTGATGAAATTAATTGCAACATTAATTCTCTGTTTTGAGAAATATATAAACATGAGGAATGTAACTATCTTGGATAGAACAAGTGGTGCATATAATCCTAGCTCTGACTTTTTGGATTCTTAACGTATTTGAGAATTATGTGTTATACAGTTGAAGAGAAAACAATCATATAACCATATGTATATGAATATCAGTCCCTTTATAAAATTTTATAAAAATGGAATGATATTTATAAACATATAGTTACATGATGTGTGTGTATATATATATATGTTTATGTGTAAATTTCTTATTTATAAAAATGGACTTATTTATAGTTATAAAACAATATGGCTATATGTATATCAATATTTTTTGTAAATGGACTGATATTCATTTACATACTGTTATACTGTGTATCTTCACTTCAATAATCAAACAGTTTATTGTTATCAGTGGAAGAGATCTGAGTTACCTTGAGTTGCTGGCAGCAAATTTGTATGCATCTGCCGCAACTTCAGCCCTTGACTCCTGGGAAGAAAGAATTCGACTGAGGGGCATAAAGCAGAAAAAGAGACTAGACAAATTTCAGAGCAGAAGTGGAAGATTATTTAAAAGGCTTTAGAACAGGAAAAGAAAAAAGAAAAAAAAAGGTGAGAACTCTTGGAAGAGATCCATGTGGACACCTGAACATGAATGAGAAAAAACAAGCACCTTTAACCTTGGTCCTGGGACTTCCTAGGCTTACCTCTTTCCCATGATTCTTCCCTTAGTGGGGGCTTTCCACACGTGTGGTGCCCTCCTTACTTTTGGGAATTAAGCACAGTCAATGTGTTTAGGGAGTTATATGCATGTCCATCTGAGGCTGTCTTCTTTTTTCTGATGGAGTGTACCCAGAAGATCATACTTTGCTGTTTTTGTCTCTTGATGTGCATGCCCAGGAAGTTGCTTCTCCCTGAGGTCTGCCTTTAATTAACACTTTAATGTTAACAGGTGCAAACTATCACGAAATGGCCTCTCCATGGCACTGGTTGCCAATTTATCACTTTTAGAGAGAAAATGCTATAATTGCTGGACATCACTGGACATTTCTAGTGGGAGGGGGAAGAGCCCTCTCCTGCCCCACTCATGCCTAACTACCTGTAACAGTCATGACCATAACTGCGTTGCACATAGATCCCTCAGGTTGCATTTTGGTATTCTTAAGATTTCTCTCCCCATAAGGTCTTCATTTTGCTTGCTACAAGTAAACACTTTTAAAATCCGAAATCAGAAAATTTGAGTTAATAGAAGTCTTTTGGATCATTTAATCCAAATAATAAAATCTCATAGGTGAGTAAAATAACAAAAAGAGAAAAGAGAAAATTTTTCTACGATTACTGAAAGAGTTAGAAATAGAATTCAGGTTTCCTAGTTTCTTAACAAAAACACACCTACTCTTCTGCATTTTTTTTTTTTGCTCTATGTTGGTGTTTGATTGGCAAGTATTAAAAATATATCTGCTATTCTACTGTGTTAGGTAGGATACACTGATTAATAATATCAAACAAGTAATTTCACAGTGTAGAAATGATAAATCATCTTGCATGTATCATTCCAACTCACTTTCATAAACAAAAGTAATACAAGAAATTTTAACTAGGCAAAGCTACTAAGCAGCCAGCACAACTACTCAGTATTGGAAATCTGAGTAGTTTTCCAAGGTGTGGTTGATAGTTTTTGAGATCCAGATCAAGATGAAGATGAAACATTAAAAGATTATAGATTTAAAATTCAACTTATTTTTAAAAATAAATTCCTTAGGTTGAGGTTGCAGGCTATTATTTATCTATTGAAGTATAAGCAAGCTTGTATGCAAGATGAAAAGCACATTTTACAGGTATCGAAGTAGCAACAGAAGAACAGAACAGTGTGAGCATAGATGAAAGGCAAACATTTCCATTTTACTCATTAAATTCATTAATAAATTTACAGTTAGCCCAGAATATTTCTGTTATTTAAGAAAATTAAACCTCTGGTTCAATTTAAGTTGTCAGGCATTTAGAGGTTGACCCATTATTTAAATCATGAGATAGTAGAGTCACTTAGTTGAAACACAAATTTCATAGTGCCAAATAAAAACCAAGTCCAGACTTAGGTAAGAATATTTTATTTGAAAATATTATTGCAAGAGGAGAGAAGGGACAATTGCAACAGGGGGAATGCTCTGAACCTAAGATCTATGTGCATCTCAAAGTTTAAGCAGAAAGAGGCTTTTTATTTATGAGGAAGAGCAAATAAGCCTAGAAAGAACCAGGTAAGAGGACGTTCCAGAGGGAGAGCAGTGTGATTGTACAGTAAATCAGAAAATGTTTTACCCTGAGGCCAGCTTATTCTAGAGAGGGGCCATTAAGGAAGGGCTATATGCTAGCTCTGACTAGGCATTTCAGGATCAAATTTCAGGAGCCAGGGGAAAGGAGAGAATTTTAACCGTAGTTTGATCATTTCCAGAAAGCAGGTATTTTGTACAAATTGACTAGTGGATACGAGGAGTTCGTCTAATCAGTTACCATTTACGGGACAAAGAACGGGGATTTGGAATGTCTTAATCTGGCCCTAACAAAGGTAAGTAAGAAGGACATGGTTGAGTATTTTTTTAAGTCATATGTGAAGCATGGTTAGTTGTGGTAAGCTCTTTCCTGGACACTGAATAATTAAGGGTTTCTTTTAAAAATTTATGTTTTTGATTTTAATTTCTTAAATGAATTAATTTTTAATTAAAACATTGCTTATACTTATGTATAACATGTTATGTATATATGTATACATAGTGAAATGTCTCAATTGAGCTAATTAACATATTCATTACCTCACATATGTATAATTTTTTGTGGTGAGAACACAAAGTTTACTCTCTAAGGGATTTTCAAAAATACAATACATTGTTATTAACTATAGTCACCATGTTGTACAACAGATCACTTGAACAGATTCCTCTTATTTAATGAAAATTTAATTTTCTTTGAAGAACATCTCCACAATACTCCAGCCACTGGTAACTAGAGGATCTCTTAATCATCTCTATTTTCTAGGAGAACATTGTCAATCAAATTCACTTGTAAAAATTAATATCTCATAACATTCATTTTAATTCAATGTATATATTGATTAATTCCTCTGTTCTAGCATCCAAAGGCATAATAAGTACTGAGAGAGAAAAAGTCATTTACCCACAAGTTTAGTGTGAAGGAGACAAAAAGTAATTTATAAATTTGATGACATTTAAAAAGTTATAAAAAGAAATTATGACAGAACATAACAAAGGAAACTTTGGAATAAGCACACCTGAAGTTTGAGTTACATGGAAAAAACTGTAGGGAACAGGAGTGTATAGAGAATTTCAGACAGATAAAACAACATCCTTAAAGCTTGAGAGTTCAGAGGAAGTGTGAGCTAATCAAACATTGGAATGTGCAACGTCAGAGCAGGGTGGAAAAAAGAAAATAAATAATAGAGAATAGTGACCAGTGAAGTAAGAGAGATGGAAAAGTCAGATAATCAAAGGCTTTGAATCCTTCAACACTTAATTATTGAACAGATACAACAGGGGCACATTAAGATTCTGACCACATTAAGGCTACAGAGAAAAGAATATATTAAAAAAGTGATTGAGGGTTAAAAAAAAAAAAAGAGTAAGATATTTCAGCAGTGCAGCTATAGTGGTCAGGGTTCTCCAGAGAAACAGAACTAATACAATGTGTATATATTTAAACATTTATTCCTTGGTGCCAATAAGGCCATGGTTCCAGGACCCCATGGATACTGAAATTTGAAGATGCTCAAGTCCCTGACGTAAAGTGTATTAGTATTTGCATATCATCTATGCACATCCTCTCGTATACTTTAAATTATCTTTAGATTACTTATAATACCTAATATAATTTAAATGCTATGTAATGCAATTTAAATGGTATGTAAATAGTTGTTATAATGTATTGTTTAGAGAATTATGGCAAGGAAAAAAGTCTGTACATGTTCAATTACAGATGCTATTTTTTTTAAATTAAAAATATTTTTGATACACAGTTGGTTGAATCCACAGATGTGGAACCCACTTTGAATACGGAGGCTGAGGAGTCCCAGGATGTACAGTCAGTGCTGAAGCAGTGGCCAGAGAGAGCCAATGTGTAGTTCCAATCTGAGTCAGGAGGCCTGAGAACCAGGAGAGCTGGTGGTGTAAGTTTCACTCTAAAAGTCAGCAGTCTCAAGACTCAAGGAAAGCCAATGTTTTGGTCTGAGCCTGAAAATCATAAAAGATCAATATGTCAGCTCAAGCAGTCAGGCAGGAGGAGTTCCCTCTTATTCGGCCTTTTTGTTCCATTCAAGTTTTTAATTGATTGGACGACGCTCACCCACATTAGAGAGAACAATCTGCTTTTCTTAGTCTATTGATTCAAACGTTAGTCACATTCAGAAATACCTTCAAAGACACACACGAAATAAAATTTAACCAAATGTCTAGACACCTTGTGGCCCAGTCAAGTTTACATATAAAATTAACCATCATACCAAGCAAACGATTATGGTGGTTTGGATTAGGTTGTCATTGGCTGTACAATTGGTGAAAGTGGACAAATGGTATTGAAGTCATGGAGGTGAGGTAGAGGAAATCATTTATAAACAATACAGAGTCAGCTACAAATAAATTCATGACAGAGAGCTAAGAACTTTACTAAACTGTTGAAAAGAGAAGGAGAAACCATAACAATGGTTGACATAGAGGAGAAAATCAAGGCAAGGGTCAGTTGTATAACCTCAAGTAAGATTGTTTAAAGGGTACAATGGTTAATGGTATCCAATGATGGTAATGGTCAGCAAAATAAGGACTAAAATGTATTCTATGAGTTAACAAGAAGGAATCATTGGAGATCTTATTAAGAAGAATATTGGTGGAGTGATGCAGCCAGAAGCCAGATCGAAATATGTTGAACTGTGAATAAAATTTGATAAATAAACGAAAAACAAGCACCACCAACAACAAAACAGAGAGAGTATGAACTAAGTGTACATAAAGTTGAGCAGTGAAGTAACAATGGAAAAATGGGCTTTAACTTTGCAGGGCCATGGGACAAAAGGGACAGTGAAATGCAACGTTTAAGGAAGGGGATGCTGGTTTTGACTACCCTGAACTTTTCAAAGATATTCAGCTATCATTTACCGGCATTGAAAATGAAACCAGTAGAGTTGAAGTATATAAAAATATAAATGTTTCAAGAAAGTTAGTGTGCATAAATTGCTTATACAATTTTATATATTGGAATATTTCATTGCTAGGTTTTAAACACAATGTAAAGTTTACTCCGTAAGTAGAAAAAAAGTCATCATTCTGTCACGTCTCATCTTCCGTCATGTCATTGCTGCTTTTCTGTACTGCAGCCACGTGACCTTCATTTAATTTCTATAGCTTAGCAAACTCCTTCATGCTCTAGGTAATTTTATCAAGATGTTTCTCCTTTCTGAAATAGTTTCAAGAACTCCATCATGCCTCTATCATTCTCTCCCTTTTATCTACGTACCGCCTACTACTTTTCAGATCTCAGATCAATCATTTACTTCGAGAAGATTTTTCTGACCTCCTTACACAGCTTCCTCTAATAAACGCTATTTCCTCACTACCTTCCTTTTCTCTTGAAGACTTATTAGTATTTTAAAAAAATATTTACTAAGTGCTTCTTTAATTAAAGTCTGCCCAGCCCACTGAACATAACATTTATTAGAATATAGCCAAGGTTTCTTTTTCTCCTTTCATTGTTTCATCACAACACCCACAGGCCCCTCACAAAAACACAAACAAACAGATGCTCAGTCAGCACCTATGAAATGAAGCAATATATAAAACCAAGCTGAATATGTTAAGCTAAAAATTTGAAATATATGTGGTAAGCAAACTAACATAATCCATAACAGACTTGACATTTAGTAACAACCAATATTGCATTTGAAAAAGGAAGATTGTTTTTGCAGAATGAGACATAAACTGTTACATCTTTGTTGTTATATCAAATTAAATTTATAATTAATTTTTATTTGGAGAATAAAGCCATACAAAAGCTTTCTTATGAGTTTTTCTAAAACATTTTAGAGCTATTGAAGCTTTGTTTTTGAGAAAAGTTGAAACAATCACAGAAGTTATATGACATATCACCTACAATACTTAATAATTAGTTTTTAAGAGCTTTTGAGTCATCTAACATAAATTGTAGCACTGAGAATTATATAGTAAAAATATTTTACTCAATATGGTGGCTGTATGTTTTATAAAGAGCTAGTGAATAACATACTTGTATATTTTCCTGATTGCAAAGAGCAAATGTATAATTATAGAACCATAGACTAATACATTTTCATGAAACCTTATGCCATCAGTGAAATTCAAAAGCCAGAAACCCACCTACAGCATCTTAAGTAGACATTCATGTGTTGTCTTCTGCAATAATTCTTAATGCTTTGGACAGAAGCCAATTCTTTGGTAAAATCTCTAATTGTCTAAAATGTCTTCCTTACATTGATCCAGCATTTCTCCCTTTGTAATTCGTAGAATTTTATTCCAAATCACCTTCCAGAGCAGCATAAAAAATGTATAACCTTTCTTTCATCATCCTTCAAATGTTTAAAGACCTCTGATTCCTCCTTTGGGGGTAAATATCCTTGTTTCATTGAAATCACTGTTTTCAAGTTGCTTATACCAAAAGCAGTCTTGTCATGCCGGTTTTACGTTGCACTTGATAATTTTAAGTATGGTAATTTTATCTTTTTCCCATTTTTATCATTTTACTGTTTATTGTTTTTGTTTTTACCACATTAGCTATCTCTCACAGCTTTATTTATTCTACAAATATTCTAGGTAAATCCTCTTCATTTATAGCAAAACATTAAGAAAGAATAAACCAACTAAGATAAAGAAAAGAGTTCTATGAATTGTTGATAGATACCTCTGCCATATTCATGAATTTGTCATGTAATATTATCTGAAACTATTCCTTTATAAAAAACTTAAACATGCTGAATAACATTTGACAAATATATGCACAGTTGAGATTTTCAGAAAAATATAGAAAAGGAAGAGACAGCTGAAAAGCAGAATAAAAAGCAGAAGCTAACAACCATTTTGCTGCTTTGAGACGTGGCCAAGTGTTCAGTTATCTCATCAGTCAAGTAGTATGTGTTTTAAAGGTAATGTACCAACGGAAGTCAAAGATTGAGTCTTGTATAAGGCGAGGAGTTTGTATCTTAAAAGGAGCCCTAGCGGCCTGGAGGGGTGGCTCGCGCCTGTAATCCCAGAACTTTGGGAGGCCGAGGCTGGTGGATCACCTGAGGTCGGGAGTTTGAGGCCAGGCTGACCAACATGGAGAAACCCTGTCTCTACTAAAAATACAAAATTAGCCGGGCATTTTGGCGCATGCCTGTAATCCCAGCTACTTGGGAGACTGAAGCAGGAGAATCGCTTGAACCTGGGAGGCAGAGGTTGCGGTGAGCAGACATCGCACCATTGCTCTCCAGCCTGTGCAACAAGAGCGAAACTCCGTCTCAATGAATAAATAAATAAATAAATAAATAAATAAATAAATAAATAAATAAATAAAAAATAAAGGGAGCCCTAGAAAAATGCAGGCCACTTTAAGGAGCCAACACTAAGTGAAAATGTGTGCATTAGGGAAAATATACGCAGAGACAAAAGACGACAAGCAAGAGTAAGTGTTTCCTTCTCGGTTGCAGGAGAAGAAAAAAAAAATGCTTTTACCTGACATTTGACAACCACAGGTTTTCTCTGATGCCCGCTTGGGTTTGAATTCATATTATTTGCATGGTTTTGTAAACCAAGACAGATGAATCACCATTAAATAGCTCTAGACTGTTAACCAAACTTGTGTGCCTGATAAAATAAAATTCAAAATGTCTCTTTCTTGAGAAAAATAAATATGCTTTAAAAAGTTTATTCTATCCTAATAACATTCCACGGAACAGGAGCTTATACTTCAAAATAACAAGAATACACTTTAAGAAAAATGCATCAATAGAAGTAAGAAACAGCTGAATTAGACTCGGCAAAATTGCCAGATAGTAGACACAATCTAAAGCGACAGCATTTCAAGAACATGAGAAAATTACATGTTGCTATTAAAATGAGAATGTTTAAACCTGTAGATTTTAGAAATTAAGAAAAGTATTTATTAGAATAAAAAACTCAAGGGATGGGTGAAATAAAAGTGTATATGCACCTGAAAAGAGCATTTGTAACCTGGTTATCGGCATTAATTAAATCATCTCAAATGAAGAACAAAAAGATAAAGAGATGGAAACTATGAGAACGATCAGTACATATGAATATTTTGAGAATATCTGACATGTATCTCATTGGACTTCTAATGAAAGAGGATATCAGAGAATGCTGAACAAAGGCAAAAAGAAGTTTTGGAAAAAAAAACAAAAATTAAGGAGAAAACTTACAAAGGTATGAAACAATTTTATGGACACAGGTGCTCTACAGCAATAATAGAAGCCAACAGAAAACTAAATAATTTTTTCAAAGTGCTGAAAGAAATTCTGTCAACCTAGAATTCAAAAACCCACCAAACTATAATTTATAATGAAAGAAAACAAAGTTTTTAGACTTTTTTTTTAAAATATGTACTTCCAACCCACAACTCTAAGAGAAATGAATTTCTAATACTGAATTTTAGGAAGAATAAAATTAAACCGTGAGGGAGGAAATTTGTTCCAAGAAGAAGAGAAGGTATAATGAAAATAAGTAAACATGTTTGGAAATAAAAGCTGTTGTCATATAAAAGAATAGTCATGAGCCATTCAGGGAAGAAGTAAAATAAAATAAAATGGTTCTAAAATACTAAACAATATTTACATGTAGAATGGGAGGGAGGGATCTGAGGAAAATTATTCCAAGGTGTATATCTTGTCTGGAAGGTGAGTAGAGATATTGGTGATTGGTTAACTCAGGTGAGCATACTTAAAACATCAAATACGAGAATAAAAACAGGTATTTAACTTCCAAACACCAGATTTTAGGGAAAAGTAATTTTGTAAAAGGATAGAGAAAAAAGAAAAAAAAAAAGAAATTGCAGTAGTAAAACAATATATTCTATGTGATGCTCTAGAAAAATGGTAGGTAATATGTGTGTGGAGTTATTGGTAGATTATGAATAACAATTTTTTTTGATTGTACTACAGTTTACAAAGCAATCTCAAAGGTATTTTTCTCAATTAATTATGAAACTTTGATTTTATGAAATAAGTAATTTGCTTTTTTTTACAGCTAAGTCACTGAGTTATTTTTTCCATTTTTAATTTATTTGTGTAATTGATTTCTGAAATCAAAGGAGCTAGAGAAAAATATTCAGATCCATGTCTTCTGCTTTCAGGTTAAGCATGTTTTCCACTGCAGCTGAGTCTACTCTCAGTCACTCAAGCAATTGTGAAATGTGCAACATGATACAAACTACTTTATAAAATTAATATAAGATATGCTGTCAGATTTTATACTGACATCAAGTTCCATTATGTTCTTGTCATTCTCCGGATAGTCTTTTAGAAGAAGATGCAAATTTAAATGTAGACTTTAGCTGTTTCTGCAAGCAATGAGTCTTACTGTGATTAATGTCTCTTTATTAGGTAGTAGTGAAATTAATTTAATATTCTCTTCCAGAATTTGGACAAAAGTCTGCATTAAATTTACCATTCTGTATTTTTAGAATCTGTACTCTTCTTCTCCTCCATTTGAACAAGAAAACATTTCATTTCTCACATCTTCTTCTTTTTTTTTTCTTTTTTCATTATACTTTAAGTTTTAGGGTACATGTGCACAACGTGCAGGTTTGTTACATATGTATACATGTGCCATATTGGTGTGCTGCACCCATTAACTCATCATTTAACATTAGGTATATCTCCTAATGCTATCCCTCCCCCCTCCCCTGACCCCACAACAGGCCCTGGTGTGTGATGTTCCCCTTCCTGTGTCCACGTGTTCTCATTGTTCAGTTCCCGCCTATGAGTGAGAACATGCGGTGTTTGGTTTTTTGTCCTTGCGATAGTTTGCTGAGAATGATGGTTTCCAGCTTCATCCATGTCCCTACAAAGGACATGAACTCATCATTTTTTATGGCTGCATAGTATTCCATGGTGTATATGTGCCACATTTTCTTAATCCAGTCTACCATTCAGGACATAGGCATCGGCAAGGAGTTCATTTCTCACATCTTCTACAATTCCTAAATTTTTTTAAAAATTTAGAATTAATGGTGACTAAGAGTGTATATTAAGATCTAGTGAAATTATGTAGAGACTTACAAAGTTACTGACAGTCATTAGGTGTTTTCTTGTATTTAATTCTTCAGTTTTCAATTTGCTGCTGATTCTCCTCTGAAGTTCAGAAGAAAAAAAAGGAAAATATTATTTATCTTATCGTTTTTCGTCCTTGTGCCTTTGGCCCCAAACGTTGTTGTTATTCTTTTGGTCATATTTTTATTTGACTACATATTAAAACCAACAAACATTCCTAAGACAAAACAAAGCACAGTTACCGATTGCTGTTGGATTTTTTCACTCTACTTCTTTCAATTCTGGCTCTCTCTTCCTTTTCTCACTCTCTTAACTTTATTTCACACTTTAGTTTCTGCCTTGATTCTGTATACAAGGTCTGGCTTTTGTACATTTTATTTTAAGAAATCAATTTATTGTGAAGATTCCTTTCATCTACTAATAGAAAAGATTTCAAAATTTGTCTGCAAATCATAGTTATAATAAAATAAATGGTTATTTAATACATTGTATGTAAAACAGAAAAATTTAATTTTTAGAATATTCTAACAGTGGGAAGTATATCCAAAGACATGGTATAACATTCTCTGGTGTAATTCAGCTTAGTATTAGCTTCAGCTTTTATTTATCTATTACTAGCTTTATGAGTTTAAAATTCACTTAAATATTTTGCACATCTATTTTTACTGGTAAAATGGAAATAATAACTATCGTAAAATTGTGGTAAAATTTGAATCACTAAATGCTTTTTGAAATTGTGATAACTCTTTATATATATATGATAATTAAACATATGACTTAAAGATGCCCCATTAACATTTTTCTAACTTCTAAAATGATATAAATAATTAACAATGTATTAAGTAATTATCATATTCCAAGCAGGCAATGTAATTTGTGTTTTATGTGCATTAGGTAATTTCATCTTCACAAGGACCCTGTGATCTGGTATTTGTATTATTATTATATTTTATAGAGGAGGAAACTAGAAAAATACGAATGACATGTAATATAATAGGCTATGTTCTGCTGTGTTAACAGATAACTCCTTGATTATATGTATCCTAATACTCAAAAATATTCTTTACCCCTCAAACCACCTGTCCCTCATTGCCCACATGTGGTCACTAAGAGACCTTGGCTGATAGAAGCTCCACCGTCTGGAAGCTTCGGGTTCTGGAACATGTGACCACCTCAGACTCCATAGCACTAGAGAATCTGCTGACATTTATATCATGGATCATCTTCTTACAGCCATTGGCTGGAACAAGACCATCTGTAACCTCACGGAGTCTGCAAAATATGGAGAAATTGCTGAAAGGTTAGATGAGCACCACTCTCTCTGCCCCAAGTAAGAAGAAGTAGAATTTGGACTCTAGATTACTTACTCAAGTCCCCTTAGCTAAGCCGTTGTATTCATTCCTAAGAAAATTTTGCCAATGTAATATGTGTGTGTGTGTACATGTGTACGTGTGTGTGTGTCTCAGAGGCAGCAAACTGTGCCAAAAAGTATATTCACCCTTCTTCCTGAGCACACAATTGGAATCTAAAATTTCAGCAATAAAATTAAAGAACTGACATGTGCCACTTCTGGGCCAAAGCTTATATTAGGCACAGATGCTCCTTCATGCTTTCTTTTCTCTTCTGGACCCCGGTTGCACAACATGATGAAGTACTTGAGCAGGACAGAGGTACAGAAGCACCACATGGAGGACAGACACCTGGACATTAGGAACATCCAATTTGGACTCTTGTTTTGAGGACTTCTAGTAAACACTCATTTTTTTACTTGAGCCATTTTAAATTTGGATATATTTGACACATTATTTTGCATACTATTGTTGAACCATTTTAAATTATTGATATTTGAATATTTGTGACATAAAAAATAAAAATTTTATGTGGTTTAACATAATAATATGACTGTCAAAACTTTTAAATAAATGTATTTTTATGTTTTAATTAAGATGTGATTAAATGTTCCGCATTTAGAGAACATATGCTCTGCTGAAGTCACGGTTATATTGACTATATAGGGTGTTTCTTCCTTTGTTAAAATAAACTCCAACAGTACATTTCCTCATTCTTTCAAGATTTTCTGTATTTTTAAATCAATGGCTATTTCTTCCTTTCTCATGAGACTTTAGTTTAGAACAGCAGCTTCTCTCAGTGATTTGCTCATCTATGAATTCTAACCAAGGCAGTATTAAACCATGGTTCCCTCCACACTTACCATCTAGCCTGTAGAGCTACAATCTTTTACCAGTTTGCTTCATTTCTTTTACCAACATTTTTTTTTACCCTCCATGTATCTGTTCTTCAGTTCATGAATTATTTTTCCATCCAAATAGATGTTTTCTTGATATTCGATATTCATAATTATGTGTTTTCTTATTGTTGTTATCAGATATAGTTCTTTTGAATAAGATTCATTTTAATACACTGTGTGGTCATGATTTCCACACTATACAATTTTGATATTATCCATGTGACATTTATATCTTGTGTTAAAAATCTCATGCTAACTTTATTATTCCTGATTTTTCAGTCATTATTAACATCTAAAGGCACCTACTCAGCTATTATTTTCCTTGTGAATTATTAGTGAGTCTTTATTTTATTTTAACAAAATATCTTACAATGCCACATCTGTTGTCTTCAGTTAGAGCCAGTGTTAGAATTTTTCTGCGTATTTTCTTTCTCTCTCTCATCTTTCTTTTGAAGGTCGCATGATTAAAATATAGATTGCCATTTCAAAAAAGTAAGATTATCTTTATTTCACAGAATCAGAGTAATTGATGTAGGTCCATGTTTGTGAACTCGCAGTAGGACCAAGTTTGAAAAACTGTTGTTTGGCATAATATATACAGCAAGCTATTCATCTCCTTACTTCCCTCATGTTTTCCAAATCAGACCATTAACTGAAAGAAAAGACGAAAACTCAAATTCAGCCTTTTGGTTTTTCAGTCTCTTTTCTACATTAAATGAAGTAATTGTCTTTCCAAGTCAAAAATACAACCTCTTAGATAAAATTGTATTCGGTTCCTCTTAAACAAACACTTCTAAAAAAGTTTTGTTCAAAATACCATTGGCTATGACCTCTTCTATTATTTTTCTGCCATTGTTCTTCATAGGAATATGGTATAGGCATTAGCCAGTAGAAGACATCTCCAATTCATTATGTGAAATTTTTTCCTTGTTTATTACACTTCCATTAAATTACATAAAATGAAAATTTCCAGAAACTTGTTCCACAAACCCAGCTGGCCAGTGAGGGGATCTTACCAAAGGGAGGCATCTAGATGTTCACAGATTGCACACATAGCCATGATTACTCTTAATCAACCATATCAGTGGGAGAACATTCTCAATATGGCTGAAAAAAAAATAGCTCCTGAAGTATATTTTCTGAAATTAACTTGCCAAACTAAACCATTTTTCCCTCTATGAAGCCAATTTTCATGTCCATCCACACCATCTGTTCCTTGTGAAAATGGAAAATTAGTTTCATGTTGACCTGGCATCAGTTAGCTCCATTATCTCCAACTGGTTCATTTAAAAAGTCTGCAGTTTTCTCTACCAGAATATATCATCAGTATCTTATTTCTTAATCCAAAATAAATATAACCATTAAGTTATCCCTGTGCTTCTCCATGTCATTTATCTATTGAACAGTTTAGGAGATCAACTTACTCAATTTTAACTTCTTATTTAATACTTGTTCTACTGGTGACATTACTTACCCTGTTCCCTACTGTCTAGGGACTATGGACTCAAGTTCTACCAAGGCACATTGTGAAAATTGCACAATGCATTTGGTTCCCATGTTGTGAAAAACCAACACCTTCTTTTTAGGTTAGAATTAAGTTACGATGTAGGTGTACATCTTCATTTTAAAAACAATTTGTATTTGAAATAGCTTTTACTTTTTGTCATGAAGTTAATTTAGCAAAGCTAATCAAGGAATATAACAGATTGTAATAAAATACCTAACATTTGTGAATGAATTACATTAATTTAATTTTTTTTCAACTGCATCCGATCTCTTAGAGCTTTTTGAATAACCAGTCATACTTGAATGGGAATATTTGTAACTCAAATATGATATAATCATGTATATTTCTATGAATATATAGAAAACACCTTGAATGTACAGAATGAGTATTAGTACTTTAATAAGAATTCCCATTAAATAACTTTTAATGGTCTCTCATTAAAATAATTTATTTCAGAAGAAATATGCTTGCACTATCATTAAATTCAAAGGAATGTTAAATACATAGGAATTTAAAAATAATTTCTAAATGGCATCAGAACAATGATGAAACATATATGATCTATGTTGATATTGTAATATCTTGAAAGGTGAAATAATTGTCACTTGCTTGTGCATCTGTGATTACATTCCAATCCAAGTTAAAAGTTTACCATCATAGAAACCAAAAATACTGCATAATGGCAGACTAAACTTAATCTCTATAATTAAAAATAGGTGTATTTGTTTCCTATTGCTGCTATGATAAATTGCTACAATTGTGGCTTAAAACAAATATGATCTATTCCCTTATCATTGTGAAAGTCAGAAGTCTGAAATCAAAGTGTTAGCAGGGCTCTGCTCCTTCTGAAAATTTCAGGGGAAAATCCATTTCCCTGTGTGTTCCAGCTTCTAAAGACCATTTGCATTTCTGGGCTCATGGTCCCTTTCTCCATCTGCAAAGTGTATTACTTCAGCTTCTGCCTTCATCATCACATCTCTTTGTAATCTCTGAATCTAACTCTACTACCTCTCTCTTACAAGGACCTTGTAATTGCATTAGCCTCATCTGGATAATGCAGAATAATTTCCTTACCTGAAAATACTTAATCCTTAATCACATCTACAAAATCCCTTTTGGACATAAGGTCACATACTCACAGGTTTCACTGGTGGAGATGTGGAACTCTTTCAAGGTATTTGTTTATCTTACCACAATGTGGAACATGCAAGTTTTATCACTAGGCCTTTTAAAAATACAAGTTAAATATATAAAATGGAATAAAACTCGAACACAAAAATTCTCAACCTCAACCTAAAATAACATAAACAAAAGTCTTTACATTTCCAGCATTCTGAATTATTCTCTGCCTTTGATTGATCAAGAAATATTTATAGGACAAATCACAATAATTGAAGCAATCTATATTACAAGCTTATTAAGTTCTGCTGTTTTTAAAGATAAAATAATTTTTTAATTAAATCTTTGGAAGAAATAAGAATATAATAACATTAAAATTGTTCACCAAATGCAAAAAATGTTGAAAAAAGTATTTTGGTTCGGGTCACTTGAATCAGAAAAATTTTATTATCTTTTCAATCATGGACAAAAGTAGTAATCATAAATTAGCTGAAAATCTGCCCCTGATGAGATTTCATATAAAGACATAAAAAGTGACTCAGAGATATTTAAATGTTACAATCAATAAAACTGATTGATCTACAGGAATGTTAGGGTATTTTAAATGTTAGAATAAATAAAATGTGTTTATCTATAAGAATTTATAATAGGGGAAAATAGGAATAAAGGAAAATTCCTGGATAGTGTAATTAACCAGGATGAGGCATTTAAGACGAGAAGCAGTTTAATAGACAAAAATTTCTGTTTTCTGGGTTGACGTTGGTTGAATTACCTATTGACCCTCCAGGCTGGTATGTTCCTGTAGTAATTCTGAATGATTCCCATTCAGCATCCTGCCTTTCCTCCTTATAGTTATCAATCTTCCTTCAGAGGATGGAAAAACTAAAACAGCTCTTTAAAAGTCCTTAATTTCTACCATTTTGATACAAAGTTGACATCTCTAACTAGATGCAGTTGCACAACATTTGAAATTTGGAAGTGGGTTTGAAGGGCAAACTGTCTCCTAATTGATTGGGTTCCCCCTCCCCCTCGCCCCCACATTAAGCATAGTTGTAAGGACAAAGGGTTTTTCTTCAGCAACCCAGTCCCTAGCTTTCTCCTGTCATGACCTTGGGGTGTGTGTGGGAGCAGCATCCGCATATGTGGATCACAGCTGCAGCTGAGTGTTCTTAACAATTCCCGTTGTGGCATCTAAGGTGTCAGCCTTGAGCTGCCCCTCCAGTCCTTCTGAAAATTTTAAATAATCTGACCACTGCATTGAATCCCTTTCTGCTAAAAGTAGCTATAACGGTTTCCATTTCTTATAACTGAACCCTAACTGATAAAATTTGGATGGCAGTTAGCTTGTTAAGTCTGGATTTCAGATCAATATCTTCATTCTATTACTTTACTGGGTATATTCACTAATATTGCATACAACTTCATATAAAATTAAATAATTAAAAGTACAGCTATGAACAGAGTAATGATATGAATGAGAAGAGTCACCATTCTGCACCCTGGACTAATGTGGTATTTGTTTTTTTGTTCCATGGGCCTCTCAACCTTACATTTTCATTGTAGAGAGAATAAAGTTTTTCCTCTGAGTTCTCTCCCATCGCATGCCCAGTCACTGTGTCATCGATTTGTGTTGACCCACTGGTACTTCTCCACCTGGTGCATAGCAGGCCTGTAATACCAAGGGTGCTTCTGTGAGATGTGGTGTTTCCCAGTGGGCTGACACGGCCATCTGCCACATTCTTTTTGTGGGGAATTTGGAACCAAGATTGAAAGGGCTGTTTCAAGTATTCAACCTGATAAATACCATTTGAATTGCTGACTTTAGAACTGAATATAGATATTTGGAAATCATTAACATATAGGATAGACATGACATTGAAGGTGGTCATCCAGGAAGTATTGCATGAATAAAAACATGGAAGAGCATCAATCCCATAAGAAGGTACAGGAAGAGAAGCCAGCAAGAGAAGCTGGGAGTAAATGACGATGTACAATATAAAAGTCTTAAAGAAGATTTCAAGTCTTTGAAACATTTCCCTTTCCACTATAATAAATTTCCTGTTCATTGTCCTTGTGTGTTTTCCAAATTTTCATGATCTCTGACATTGCCACCCCATTTCCAGCTTTTTTTCCTATGGTGGGGTCAATGGTAAACCACTTCAAATAAATATATTCTAAAATCGTGCAATTATTCCTTTATTTGTTGCTTGCAATCTTGTTAAATACTAACAGATATTTCTCTTTTCTTGATTGTAGGCAGCAGAGCAATCATGTGGAAACATGAAATCAAACTTATCCAGTTCTCCACCAATTCATATTACCTAACATCATCTGTCCACTGAGGAGTTCTTGATAACACTTGTGCTAGGGTTATGATACAGACTATTTTCGATTATACAAACAGATGTACACATGCACACACACACACACATCTTTATACTTGCTTTACTGCTAAGAATATTCATTCTTTTCAAGGTAATATTTCTGTTATTTATCATGTCTCTTTACATTTTATTCTAGATTCATTTATTCATTTATTCTAAATTTTTATAAACACTATAAGCCAGGCAATGAGTCATGGACTAGAATATAAGAATGAAATGAATATAAAGTCTCCGGTAGTGTAAGTGGAATTACAGACAGTAAATGATAATGAAAAGCCTGATTAGAGAGATTGTCAAAATGCTGGGATTCTTTTGGCAAGATTGTCAGAGAAGACCTCTTTGATAAGAAATCATTTATGCAGATACTGTAAGGAAAACTCTCTTGTCTTTCTGCAGCTGTTCTTTTATGCTGGTTTGTATCAACTTTTAATATATTTAAGACTCACATCTATTCCTCATCTGTGTTACAAATATTCTGCCCAGGTTCACATCTCTTCCTTTTAACTTGACTTATAATATGCTGTCCATGTATTAATCTTCCAACTATATAGCCTAATTGTCAAACTTTCTCTTATATTTCTAAGCTTTGGGTAATGGTTAAAATGTAATTTTCCAATCAGTAATGAAAAACATTAGTATTTTATTTAGCACCTTTACTGTTTATTTTTATGCTTAGAGCTTGTATCCAATTGGGATTTATTTTGTCATAATGAGTGAAATCTTGACACAAATGTATATGATAGATAGATAGATAGATGATACATAGATAGAGCGATAGATGATAGATACATAGATCTCCAATTGTTTCTATAGAATTCTTTGCATAATCAAACCTTTCCATACTAACTTGAGATATCATCTTATGTAAACTAAATCCCTGTATATGAGTCCATTCTGGCCTACCTGATTTATTCCATCATATCATAGATTTATTATTACTAATTGTCAATTTAAATAACATTTTAATATGATATACTATTTTAGTATATTATCAATACAATGAAAATATAAAACAATGTAAGTATAAAAAATATATATCTACGCAAGCCTTAAATTAGAGCAAGGTACTAAAAAGTTGCATTCATCTATAGGTATCAAAAGATATGACTGATTATTGTTCTTGTAATTTCTAGTTCCTTGTCTTAGCAGAGTTCTCATGACCTTTAAAGGTATAATAAGGTCCAATGAACACAGTGTGAACAACTGGCTGCGTATTTTTTAAAGTAACATTTATGCATAAAACTTTTGTTCTGTTTCAGTAAGACACTTTAGCATATGCTGGTTAAATTCCTTCTTCTTATTACAGCCCAAATCTGTTTTCATTCAGGTTGGTTGCTTTATGCCTGCAAGCTAAAAAAAGGATATTTAAAATCTTGAGAGAAATGATTCACACTCTCTTTGGCAGCTAAAGTTACAATCTTTGCCTTTTGCTCACTCCTTGGAATTTGATGAACTAAAAGATTAAGACAGTCATGCCACATGTATAAACCAAATGCTTTCAGTTCTTATACTGACAACACAATTGCTTGTGACTTCTCAGAGAAAAGTCACCCATTATTGTTGTTAAAACTGTTTTCCTAAACTACCGTGATGGAAACCAGTCTTAAGAATCCTTTATTTCTTTCTTTGAAGAGATGCAGAAGAGATTTTTTTCTACTGATGCAAATGAAAAAGATCAATTCTAAGTGACTGATGTAAAAGTCAAAGCATGCTAAACTTACAACCTGGATTCCCGGAGCAGGCCCTGATGGGATCCATAAACATGTTAAAGTTTGGTCAAGGAAAGTCACTGTGAGTCAGGGAGACATTGTGACATATTTCTACAGCTCTAAGGTAAATCTGTCCAGAAAGGAGGTGAAATAGAGGTGCTTTGGTTTTCATTGTATACAAATTACTTTCAAAGGGAATACTCCCTTTGAAAATAATATTGTAAAAATCTCTATGGAGAACACAGAAATTAGAAATAAGAATGGGGCTACAATTTAGTACATTGATACTCTAACCTACAAAATGTAAGTGTGTTAGCTTATTGAATAGTTATGGAATCTCTATCATGTGTTACCATGTTAGCAAGTATAACAAGGAAATCCCTGAAAATTTACATCTGTTTCCCAAAATTTGCTCCATGGAATGAGAGAAAAAGCTAGGGATATAAATCAGCATTTGTTGAATTCTGGACCTCTGCTTTGCCAAAATTGTGTTGTAAAATAATAAAATTATCGTCTCTGGCAACAGGGTTAGAATCCTGATGATGTAACTGGCAGCCTGATTGAGCTTGGACAAGGCATTTAGTCACTTTGGGCTGATAGAAACTGCTTTATAGTGCTTTTATTGGGCAATATACATATATAAGAATAAATAAAATAACTTGGGGCATAAATACAAAGTTAAATTTAGCTGTTTTTACTATCGTTATGACATTCTCGTTCTCCATAGTGTTACTGTTCTTTCAAGGAAGACACCATTCATGTCTTTAGAAATCTCACAAATTAGGATCTAAATAAATTTTCTAATAACCACATACAAGGAAGACAAAATGCAGTGACAAAAACAAACATGAGTCATAAAGATAGGAGAAGAAGAGATTCTACAGAGACCAGGAAAGATCAGTTCTAATCTGACAATGGGTCAGAAAACTCTTTGAGAAAGGAAAGACTTCGGGTTGAACATTCTAAGATAGAAAAAAAAAAAAGAAATAAAAAATCAGCAGCTCATGTTGAGGATGTGATGGAGGAAAACTCTAGATGCAGAGGAGAGCCATGATATTTAAATAACATTTCTAAAAGTGTTAGAGAAATGTGTTTTGAGTAGAATGTACAAAAATTTCCCTGATATTTGTAAAATAATTAGTGAAAGAAAAGCTTGGAAATATTACTTGGGGAAATCTAAGCGAAACCTATCTGCCCATCTAGGCTGTGGCAGACTAGAGGTATTATCATTACCATTACATGCTAGATGAAGTACAATTTGGCATGAAGAATTGTTTCCAAAGTTGATTGCTTTGAGATTTATATTTTGTGATTTTAATGCTTGTTTGTTGCCAAATATATGACAGTAGCTAATATTAACATGCAAAACAGTACCCTTTAATTTAACAATATTGTCCTAGACATATGCCACATATTATATGTCAATTAACACAAATTATCTTCTTTCTGTGCCTATGAATGCTGTTGACAAGCATTTTGTAAAAAGCATTTTTGTCAATTTATTCACATTTTTGGTAAAATTATGCAGCCAAAAAAACCTGTACTATGGAACACTTTTAAAAATTCACTATATTACCTTCAATAATTCAATGGTTCTTTATTCTAGCCCAACTATCCCTCTTACTAGCTACACAAACTTGCATCTGTTATGCAGGCTCCAGAAGCTTTTGTTTCAATATTTTTAAACCAATTCTTGACTAACTGACAATCTATGGTTGTTCGTGGCTAACTCCTTATATATTTGCAGTTACACAAAATAAACTGACCAAAAAGAGTCTCAGAAATTAGTTTTTACAAATCAGGGAAATTGAGGGAGGGACAATACACAGGAATTTAAAATTATTTTTTTAAATTGATGAATCTACATCTTAACTTCATGGAATATGTCTGTCAGATTGTAGTCTTAATTTTTCTGCATAGAAGAACTAATCACAATTTTCAATAACTTTCTTCCAGTTTAAAAACAATCTACAACTCACAAATGCTTCCACTATTTATGAAAGAATTTTTTAAAAAGATTAGACATTTTTGCCAACTACATGCTTCCTTCTTGTTCTCTCATCTAATATATTATCACAGCAGATTTCCCCAAAGAAATTATCTGGATTTCCCCTAGAAATTATCTAGGGCCCTTGCGAGTATGGAGATTCTGATTTAGTAGGTAGGGCAGGGGACTGAGATTTTATCTTTCTAACAAGCTTTTAGGGGGTGTTGTTTTGGCTGCCTGGGGACCACATGCCAGGTGGGAAGGTGCTGAAAGCCTTCTCAAGATATCACAAGAACAAAAAACCAAACACCGCATATTTTCACTCATAGGTGGGAACTGAACAATGGGAACACATGGACACAGGAAGGGGAACATCACACTGTGAGGACTGTTGTGGGGCGGGGGGGGCGGGGGAGGGATAGCATTGGGAGATATACCTAATGCTAGATGAAGAGTTAGTGGGTGCAGCGCATCAGCATGGCACATGTATACATATGTAACTAACCTGCACATTGTGCACATGTACCCTAAAACTTAAAGTATAATAAAAAAATAATTTTAAATGCAAAAAAACAAACAAACAAACAAACAAACAAAACAGATTTCCCTCTTTAAATCCTTTTTCCTGGTGGGCTTTGTAGCCTTCTTAATGTTTTTGTTTTTGTTTTCGTTTTTGCCAGTCAACTCTTCTGAAACCATAATCAAGATCCATGTGGTCCCATTGTTTGGGGCCAAAAGCCTGGAGCCATCCCATCTCTGACATCCCATGTCCAATCCTGTTACAACCACCTTGAAAAATTTTCAGAATGTGACCATTTCTACCTTTCTGCAAACAGTACTTCCACCACCATATGGTACCATACTGGTGTAAGTCTTATTAGTTTCCTCCTAGGTTATTATAATAGCTTCCTTATTACTTCTGTGAACGTATCCTTGCCCCCCGCAAAGTCTTTCTATTGTTAATATGAGATTTTAGGTGATACTTTTAAAACTTAAGTCAGATCATGCCACTCTCTTGTTCAAAACCATCACAGAACCCATTTCGCTTAGAATGAAGGTCATTTGCTTTACAATGTTCTATAAGGTCGTACATAATCTTGGTTTCTGTACCTCTGTAAAATTATTTTCCGCTGTGCTCTCCCTTACTTTAGCCAATCTGACCTCTTTGCGGGCTTCTTGAACATGCCTGACCTGCACTCTTGCTTATTCACATAGCTATATTCTTCACTTTTCTTAAATCTTAGTTCAGATAGCACTTTACAAATGAGGTCAGTTATGACCATTCAATTTAAAATTGTAACTCATCTTCTGGGCCAAGTTCTGATTCCCTGTTCTGCTCGTCTTCTTTTAACATATTATTAAGCATGGCACTTGCCAACTTCTAAAACACGACATAATTTACCTATTGAGCATGTTTGTTCATTTTTTAAAATTCTGTCTAGCCCCAGTAAAATGTAAACTTCTTGAGGGAAGAGATTTTGTCTGTTTTCTTTATTGTTATCCTCGCTGATTTAATCCAAACAATTCAATGGTGTCTGCCATATTGCAGATACTCCCAAAATATATGATAAATAAAATGATCAAAATATGAACTAGGAATCTGGGCAGGAGAAATTTCCTTGACATCATTGAGGAAGATGTTAGATAATGGTAAGTTCTAAAAGAAATGGACGGTAAGAAATTGAGATAGTTTATAATTAGAAGCAATATGCATGGAAGAGAAATAATATATAGAAATCAAAGTAAAATATTTATTTTTATTATTTTTAAAAAAGAAATGAGATATGTGAGCCTATTTATGGATTGAGGGAAACAACCATGAGATATGAAAATGGCAATTGTTGAAGCCAATGTTTTGGAGGATATTTGAGAAAACCACAAGCTCCAGTCAAAAGACTGCTCTCAAAGAGAAGCAAAATGTGGGTTTTTCTTTGGGAATAAAATGGGTTGGAATAAATGAATTATTTATAAATTAAAATCAGCACTTGGGAAAAATCTACTTTATCAATATTATTAATTAATGAAGATTTTATGATAGGGATTATGAGAAGACAAGTGAAAGAGAAAAACAACTGAGTATGTCAAAGGGTTGCTGATTAGCATGGAGATACAAGTTTAGGAACGGTGAGTGTTTAAACTATGACTACTGTACAGCTAGGTGATCACTTAACAGTATGTGGAGATTTGCATCACTGGAGCGATGCTGAGTTGGAGCTTTGCTGAACAAGTGTAACTGAAGAACAAAAAGGGTGCAGAAAAATATTAGTCTCTATTAGGTGAGGAGTTTCTAAAACCAATGTTACATTTATCAACTATCTCCAGTATTGAAATTAAAAACTGAAAAACTAGGGCATTGCATTTGGACCCAGGGATATTATAGTTTAAAATAGCTAGTGTGTATTAGTTAAGAAAAATGATATTGTCTGGGTTATGGCCATCCATGTAAGAGGCTAAAGTGGTTTTGGAAACGAAGAGGATTAAAAAAAAGAACGCAATAACAGGATGGTGTTGGTTTACTATTTACAAGAAGGCAGGGTGACCATACATCCTGACCTTCCAGAAAAGTTCTGCTCTGTGACTGTTTCTCCAGCTTAAAGAGAAATGAAGCTTCCATTTTACTCAAATGTGTTCCAGTTTGAAGGATAATTTGTTAAACCTATATATAGGATGTGTCGTTTTGTGAGGTAGATGCCACATTTCTTAACAATTTTGAAGTGTATCAGTGAGTCAATAAAAAATGGTAAGGAGGAGTAAGAAGATAATTAAATAGTGCAAGGAATAGGGACTCAAACATTTCAAGTTAGCGTGATTCTTCTGTAGATCAATCTTCCTAGTTGTGCGGTGAAAAATGTCTCCCTATATTTGATATGCACCCCTTAAAAGTCTATCCCAAAAGTCTATTTAAAGTAAAAGAAATCATTCTTAAATAATCCAGGACTTCAACTATTAGAAAGTAAAATTGTCACCATTATGATTCCACTTCTTTAAGCCCAACATCCTAAATGTCTTTCAATGTTACCTCATTTAAATAATTTTGAAGACTTCACTACTACTTTGATTATTTTTAAAAGGTAGTTGTTAAAAATAAATACAATACCTTTTCATGAATGACAAATTGATACTAGAATAAGGTTGTAGTAGCTTTTGGTGAGTGCTACTATTCCTACTAACGTGTCTCTAATATGAATTAATTTCTGGTGCTTTTCATTTTTAATTTGTTTTGTTTTTTGATTTAATAAAACCATTGAAATCCACATTTTTATTCCTTTCATATAACTCTCTTAATGTGAGTTGTTTAAAGAGATAATAGTAGGGAAAAACAGAAACTTATTTATATTTTCTTAGGCATATGTTCATTCTTAAGATTTTTTTCTTTGTCAAATCTATTTAATTACATTTTTCTTTTATTTTCTTTTTTGGCTTTTTTTTTTTGTCTTTTGTACCTCAGGTGTATGGAATTAGATTCAACATATTTAGTTCATGGAACAAAGTGATATAGTTGATTGCCGTTTTGATAGCTCTACTTTAAGGGTGTTGATAAGGTATATTATCAAGGCCCAAACAGAATCTCTGATTATATTTTAAAAATAAAACCAAAACCCATTTACTTCTCCTTTCCTTACCGTTACACAATCCTTTTTAAAGATAGTATTATTTCTTGCCTACACTACACTGAATGCTACTATTTTTATGCTTCTAATTTCTATGTTTGTCTACATTTTAATCTATACAATGTGAAACAATAGCATTTAGAAAACACATGCCATTTCTCTTGTCAATGGTCTCCAATGTACTGGGGAAAATATATAGATTCTTTGCTATGCCTTTTTAATCTCTACATGAATTTGTCTATTCCTCCAACTTTATCACATCTCACTCTCTTTTCTTCACTCCATCCTTTTAGCGACACTGGCTTTCAGCCAGTTCCAAAATCATGCCGTGTTCAAATTCATGTATATTTTACAGCCTTCAAATTTTCTTCTATCTAAAATGGAGTCTCCTGGATATTTACATGGTTAGTCTCAATAAGAAGGTCAACCTCTCTGAGAGCTATACTGTGAACACCAAATCTAAAGTGATGCCCACAAGTCACTAGACATTATAACAGACTGTTTTATTATTTTCCTCACACTTGCCACTATCTGAAATAATTGTGTTTCTTCGATACTTGACTATGTTTAGTTTCTGTACCAGATTAATAGCCCCATAAAATAGAAATATATAATATTTTGGTTTCTTTGTTGTTGTTTAACAGTGCAGTTTCAGTATCTAGAAAAGAGTTTGGGAAAAAGTAGACATTTAGTAAATAGTTATGAAAAAACTTATTATTTTTGTGTAGGGAAAATGCCTGAAACCATTCAAAATTTAAGATAATTGTATAAATCTAGAATAAAGTAACTGTTTTTATTCTGTCTCTTTAAGACAAAATGAAAACTAAGTTGGACATTTTGTGGATCTTTAACAGAAGAGGGATTAAGCAACCCCAGATTAAAGAATATAAATCCATTTCATAATATTCAAGATGGTTTTATAACTCATTTGAATATTTGTAGGTTTATGAGAAAAGCACAAATATAAGAATTTTAATTTTTTTCTATTAAAATCAACAAGGATTAGAGATAGCAATATTCTAAGGAACTTACATAAGTCATGTTTTTGAGATTTCTCCACTTAAAAGTTTTCTGAGCATTCCTTAATGTATTTTATCAGGAATCAAGCATTAAGTAGATCTGCAACAAGACTGACCATATGCTTTTTACCATGGATCAAACTGCTGAACTCAGTAATAATAGTAATGGAAACTAGTGGCTGCTAGAGAGTAATTATATTTAACATACATATTTATATTCTCTTATTTGTATGATCATTCTCAAAAGTTTAACTTTGCCAAACTCATTTAATTACATCTTTTTCTTTTATATTTTAGCTATAAAGTTAGATTCATCTTATTTATTTCATGACACAAATAACAAGTTGTAGAAGCATATTTTTGCTATTGCCATTTTCTATGTAAACTCTGTGATATTGGATAATGACTCTTATTTCTACCACTGGGTATCTTGAAATATTTTTTAAGTCTTTAATCTCTTTTGCTTGCTTGCTCTTTTTCTCTTTGTGTGTGTTCTCTTCTTTTGTTAGAAATTAGAAAAATAACCTCTCACTTTGATGACAATTTTTTTTATTTTTATTTTATTTTATTTATTATTTATTTATTTATTTATTTATTTATTTAAGACAGAGTCTTGCTCTGTCTCCCCAGGCTGGATGCAGTGGTGCGATCTTGGCTCACTGCAGCCTCTGCCTCCTGTGTTCAAATGATTCTTCTGCCTCAGCCTCCAGGGTAGCTGGATTATGAAGCCCACCACCTCTCCTGGCTAGTTTTTGTATTTTTAATAGAGATGGGGTTTTGTCATGTTGACCAGGGTGGTCTGGAACTCCTGACCTCAAGTGATCTGCTCACCTCAACCTCCCAAATTGCTGGGATTATAGGCATGAGCCACCACACCCAGCCCCATTAATTTATTTACATTTAATCTGGCGTCTTTGCTCCCTCATATCATCTTTCCTAAAATTAATTAGTTATTGTAGGAAACTCAGTATATAGATTTGAAAGTTTAAAACTTTTCCTTCTTTCCCTCCTTCCTTCCTTCCTTCCTTCCCTCCTTCCCTCCTTCCCTCCTTCCCCCCTGCCTTCCTTCCTTTATACTCTATCTATCCTGTCCATACCATTAATATAAACTGCCACTATGCCAGGTTTTATAAACTATAGTTTTAAGGCCAACATTTTTTTTTTAAATGACTGAAATTATAGTTTCTTACCAGAATTATTTCAGAGGAGACACTAAACATATATAGGGAGTTTTGATCAATATTAATTTTACTAAGAAATTTGTACAGACCTAATGGATGAAAATATAAATATCAGGTTCAATTTGACTTTTCTTTTTTTGAAACGGGGTCTTGCTCTGTTGCCCAGGGTGGAGTACGGTGGTGTGATGTAGGCTCATTGCGACCTGTGCCCGCCTGGGTTCAAGAGATTCTCATGTCTCAGCCTTCCAAGTAGCTGGGATTACAGGCGTACACCACCACACCTGGTTAATTTTTGTACTTTAGTAGACAAGGGATTTTTCCATGTTGACCAGGCTAGTTTGGAACTCCTGACCTCAAGTGATCCTCCCGCCTCAGCCTCCGAAAATGCTGGGATTACATGCGTGAGCCACTGCACCCGGCCGAATTTGACTTGTTCTTTTAGTGTGCTTTGTATTATATCTTTGGTATTCAATGGAGTTTGCTTACTCTGAATTTTGGGGTCATTATTCCTAAATTCTGTTTTTTGATTCTATACAAATTCAGGAAAGCATATAGCACAGTGGCTTAGAAGATACACTTTAATATCAAACAAGAGATGATTTGACTCTTGAATCTGGTATTCACAAAGTACCAAAACGTTATTAATGTCTCTAAATGTCTCCTATGAATGCATATAATAATAATTCTCTAAAGTTCTCCTATGAATGCATATAATAATTCTCTTTATCACTGAGAATTCTTGCAAGATTTAAATGAGATAATATGTGAGAAA
Organism: Homo sapiens; assembly: GCF_000001405.40. Classification (NCBI taxonomy): domain Eukaryota; kingdom Metazoa; phylum Chordata; class Mammalia; order Primates; family Hominidae; genus Homo; species Homo sapiens. Next base: position 24,797,865 of record NC_000005.10, read on the forward strand.
TCTTAGGCTACCCCATAATAAGTCTTCATGTATGTTGGTTACCATCGTTATTATTCCGATTACAGGTTTTGCTTTTTGAGTAATTACTTTTCTCCCTGTTGCTCCCCCAAATTTTATTATAAAATATTTCAAACACCGAAAATTTGAAAGATGTTCCCAATGAACATTTAAGTACTGGCAGCCTCATTTCTACTATTAACAATTTACTATCCATCTAAGCACATCTATGTTCATTCATTAACTTATCTCATATTTTAATTTATTCCAAAGTAAATTACAGATATTAGTACACTTCTCAGAAACACTTCAGTGTACATTTCATTAACTAGGTCTCACTATTTCTTTTTACATTTTTTGTTGTGGTATCATTTACATACAACAAATCACACAGATCTTAAGTATACCACTCGATGACTTTTTGCAAATGCACACACCTGTGTAACTCAAACCCCTCTCAAAATGTAAAATGCCGCCATCATTCCAAAAAGTGTCGTCATGTCCATTCTCAGTCTGTTCTGGCCACTAATCCTGCCCCTAGAGAAAAACACTATTTTGATTTTTTTTTACTATAATACAGAATTTCATAATAACGAAAGCATATAGAATGTATATTTTTGTACGTGCTTGTGTCAGGAAGATATTAGCCATTGTGTTCTAAAACATATGTAGTTTTTTATGTTTAAGTCTATTACCTCAATTTAGTTTCTAGTTGTGATAAATTTTTTTCCTATATGAATTTCCAGTTGTTACAATGTCACTTGTTGAAAAGACTTTTCTTTCTTAATTGGGATTGCTCTTACACCCTTGTTGAAAATCAAATGACATCAATTTGGTCTATTTCTGGGTTCTGTATTACATTGAATTGGTATATTTGTAAATTCTTAGGCTGGTAACATGTTGTATTGCTTTTGTGTCTTTATAATATTTCTTGAAGTATAGAAAGTGTAAGTCCTTAAATATGGTTCTTTTTATAAACAATTGTTTTAGACAGTCTAGATTATTTGCATGTCCACACGCATTTTAGAAACAGCTTTTCAATTTCTACCAAAAAACGTGGGAAATCTTTCAATAGGTTGCATCGAATTTATGGGGTCTCTTAGGAAAAAGCAGTCTCTGAATAACACTGAGTCTTTCAATACATGGGTATTTTTCATATCTCCATTCATTTGCTACTCTTCAATTTTTTCTCAATATTAAAAAAATATAGAACAGGTTTGCAGTACATCTGTTGCTAAGTTTATTCTTTGGTATTTTGTTTGGTTATTTTTAAATTTCATATTTTAATGGCATATGCCAAAGTATAAAAATAAAATTTATTTGTGTATATTACTTTATACCCAGGATTACTAAATTTACTTAATAGTTCTAGTAGAGGATTTATCTTCTTTTTAGGATTTCTGTTAAAATTTCTGTAATCTGCAAATAGAGACATCTTCCTTTCTTCCTCCATCCTTCCCTCCCTTCCTTCTTTAGCCTTTCCCCCCACTTCTCCCTCTCTTTCTTTTCTCCTCCTTTCTTCCTCTCTCTCTAATATTAATGATTTTTCTCGCATTCCTTGTTTTATTACAATGGATGGAATCTACAGTGCATTATGGAATAAAAATATTCCATATCTTAAGGGTATAGTGTTCAATATCTCAAATTAAGTGCAATGTTGATTGTAAATATATTGTACCATATCAGACTTAGAAAGTTCCTTTTTTTTTCTATTTGCTAAGAGACCTAATCAAGATTGAGGGTTGAGAATTCTCAAAGACTTTTAATGTACATATTGAAATTCTCATATGGTTTTTCTCCTTTATTCTTGACCGATACTTAATCTTGATTTGCTGACAAGTGGTAAATCAAACTTACAAATCTTATTAGGTTATAATGTATTATTTATTTTATGTATTGCTTGAGTTCATTTGATAATTATTAAAGTTTTTAAAAATCTATGAGGTAAATTGGTCTGTATTTTAAAAATTTTCTAATATCTTTATGAGATTTGTAGTTATGATGACTTCTTATGAAGTCATTTTATAATAAATGGGGAAGTGTTCCCTTTTTCTCTCTTCAGTAGTAGTTTTTGTAAGTTTGATGTTGTTTTTCTCTTAAATAATTGACAAAATTCACCATTAAAACCTCTGGGCTGAAGTTTTCTTTCTTTATGATGATAATAAGTTCAACTCTTAAATACATATTGAACTACTGAAATTTTCTATTTTATCATGTGTCAGATTTGCTAAAAACATTTTTAAAAGAAATGTGTTCATTTTATATATAAGATTTTGAATTTTTATTGTAAAATATTGATACTATTATTTTATAATCCTTTTTATTTCTATTAGGAATTTTAATGATTTACCTCTTTCATTCCTGACATGGGTTAGTTTATATTATCTCCCTTCCCTCTCTTCTCTTCTTTCTCTCTCTCTTTTCTTATCCAGTCGAGTTAGGGCTTGTTTATTTTGTCAATTTTTTAAGTAGCTAGTTTTCTTAATTTTCTCCATATTTGTTGTTGTGTTTAATTAGTGATGTTTATATTATTATTATTTCCTTCTTATATTTAGCAATAACATTTTTTGGTTCTTTTTCTGTCTTCTTAAAGAGAAAGATCATCTTTCTTCTTTTGTAATGTGATAAAATAGGGCTATAAATTTCTAAGTGCTCATTCAACTACAAGCCACCCGTTTTATGTTGTATTTCATTTTCACTAAACACAAAATACACTTTAATTTTATCTTAATTTCTTCTTTGGCCTAGAAATTATTTAAAATTATGTTGCTTAATTTTCAAGTAGTTTGTCTTTTTAAAGATATTTTATTGTTGTTGCTTTCTAAATTACTCTTATCATCAACAGAATATGTTATATATAATTTCAATCTTTCCAAATTTATTTACACTTTATTTCCTAGTGTATGTTCTATCTTGATAAGTGTACAATGAGCACTTGAAAATAATAGTTACTCTACTTCACCATTGTAGAGTTCCATAAATATCAATTCATGGTATTTGTGTTATTCTGCTTTGCAACATCTTTTCTGATTTGCTTCTAGATTTCTTTTCCACAATTTATGTAAGAGTGATGTTAAATTATCCAGCAATAAATGAGGAATTATGTACCTCTTTCTTTCTTACTGTCAATTTTTGCTTTGTGAATTGAAGCTCTTGTAATAGGTAAATACATTTACAATACCTTATCTTCCTGATGCATAAAACATTTTATCATTATACAATGTTCCTTTTTGTCACTGGACATTCTCTTTGATAATCTTGTGCCTAGTATTAGTATAGGCATAGACATTTGTGACTATCATTTATATGATAAATACTTTTTTGCCCATTTTTTTCACTCAGCCTGTTTCTTTATATTTAAAGTGCATCATTCTAACAACACATAGTTGAGATTTATTTTTCACTTACCTGTGCAATCTAGGCTTTTTATTGGTCTTTTTATGCATTAATGTTTAAAGTAAATTTTATATTTTTAATTTATGTTTATTTTGTTTCATATTTTCCATTTTTCATACATTTTTCTTCTGCTTTTGTTTAGAGTATTTGAAATATATGTTTCTATTTAACACTCTTCATTATTTTTTAGTAGTTACTTTAGAGATTACTCTATGCAGTTTATAATTTTCTTGATCTATTGAGAATTAAAATTTTAACATCATACATATAATATGAAAGCTTGGTAGTATTGTAGGTCCTATGCTTTTTATTTTATAGTGTTATGGTTTTTATCCTCATATGATATATAGCCCACTTCAATAGCCTTTGTTCCTTCCTGAACACATTAATTTCCACCTGCTCTCATGTCATTTCAATCTAAAGAACTTCCTTTAAGATGTCTTGTAATATAAGTCTGCTGCCAACAAATTTGATGGTTTTTTATCTATGAGTATCTTGATTTCATTTTTATTTTTGAAAAATATTTTCCCTTGGTATAGAATTCTGCCTTGATACTCTGTGTGTGTGTGTGTGTGTGTGTGTGTGTGTGTGTGTCTGTGTGTGTTTGTGTGTGTTTGTATTCTGCACTTCAGTGGTGGTGTTTCACTCTCTACTGGTCTCAATTGTTATTGATGAGAAGTTGATTGTCCTTTAAAACATTATTTCTCTGCATGCTATGGGATTTCACAAGCAAATGTCTTGGCATTTTTTGTTTTCTCTGGTATTTGTTATTGTTGTTGGTAGCGGCAGTGCTGATGCTGCTACTACTGCTTCTTTTTCTTCTCTTTCTCCTTCTTTTTCTTCTTGTCCTTCTCCTATTTCCCTGCTCCTCCTCCTTTCTTCTTTCTTAGCCTTCACTCTTCCTCGTCTTCATGTTTGAGCTCTCTTTTTCAACCCATGTGATTGTTTCATCATCAAGCTCACTCCTTAATCTTTAATATTTCATCTTTACTCAGCTGGCCAGCCCATTGCATTAGTTTTACATTGATTATCTTACAGTATGTAGTTTAGAAGTCTATCAGGGATCTCTCTGTGCTAATATCAAGGTGTCTTCAGGGTTGGATTCCTTTCTGGAGCTTCTAGGGAGAAATCTGTTTACTTCTGTCTTCCAGCTTCTAGAAATCACTTCTTTGGTTTATGATGTCCTTCTTCCATCTTTAAAGTCAGCAATAGTGGGTAGAGTCATCTCTCTGACCTCCTCCATAGCAACGTCTTCCTCTCTAATCTTATCATTTATTTCCTTCTTCTACTTTGAAATATTCTTCTGATTACAATAGGGCCACCCAGATGATCCAACACAATCTCCAAATTTCAGAATCTCTCCTCTTAATCATATTTGCAAGCTTCCTTTTGTCATGTAAAATAGCATATTCTCTGGCCCTGGAGACTGGGATGTGGAGACCTTTGGAGGATATATGCCACCTACAATCAGTGAAATTTTTACATCATATACTTAATCTCTTTGTTTTAAAATTTCCATTTGGATTTTTAACATGGTTCATTTTTCTACTGGAATTTCTATATTTTCACTGATGAGCATATGCTCTTTTCTTCAAAAATCATAGTTACAACAACTACCTTTAAATTCTTATCTACTAATTCCAATGCTTGTGGTTTATTGCTACATATTGCAATTTCCTTTGTGATTGAATCATATTTTCTTATTTCCTTATATGTTAAGTAATTTTAGGATGTGTGAATGTTTATTTTTTAGGTGTCAAGATGATCGGATTAAGGGACACCCAGATACCCAGTAAAGCATCGTTTCTGGGTATTTCTGTGAGGATGTTTCCAGAGGAGATTGTCATTTGAATCAGTGGATTGAGTAAGGAAGATCTGCTCGAAACCCAATGTGAGTGGCACCGTCCAACTGGCTGAGGGCCTGGATAGAACAAAAAGACAGAAGAATACAAATTCTGCTCATGTTTTTTGAAATAACATTCCTTTTTTGATCCTTGACCATCATAACTCCAGGTTACCCAGTCTTGGGACTCCAGGACTTATATCAGTGGTCCTAAAGGTACCTATGATCAGTTGATTGAGGAAAAGAAGATTTGAAGCTGGTTTCCAGATGATTCTACATGATATGTAGGTATCATCTGAAAGTGCACAGATGCAACCCTCATTTATAAGACATCTCTGAAGGGCAGTGGTGAAGGAGAATATTTTCAGTGGGCAGAATTTCCAGAAGTGCACCTGGTTGTGTACTTTGCTTGAATGAAGAATTGGGCATATGTGCAGTTATATACCAATTCATGCACTGCAGTCAACAGCTTGGCTTGAGGGTAAGGAACTTGGAAGGACCATGATTAAAAAATTGGTGACAAAGAAATTTGGGAAAGAAATATATGTATAAACTTCTATGAATATTCAAAGAATACAGATATTTGTTTCCCATGTAAGTGTTCACCAAAGGGAGGCCTCAGGAGAATATTTTAATAATCAAGCTGACTTGATTATTAAATAATAATCAAATATAATAATAGGCTGACTCATTCTGTGGAGACCACTCAGCCACTTATTCCTGTCACCCTTGTCATTGCCTAAAAATCTTATGGAAAAAGTTGTCATAGTGGCAGAAATGGAGGTTATGCCTGGGCTCAGAAACATGAACTTTTCACCAAGGCTGACAATTTTGGGTGCCCTATGGTTATGGCAATTTTGGGTGCCCAACCCTGCCAGCAACAGAAACCAACATTGAGCCTCTGATAAAGAATCATTCCTTGGAGTGATCAGCCAGCTAACTGATGGCAGATCAATACATTGAACCCCTTCTCTCATGGAACTGGCATTATTTTGTCATTACCGAAATAATACTTACTGTGGATATGGATTTGGCTTCCGTACATGCAATGCTTATGCCAAAATTACCATTCATAGACTCACAGGGTCCCTTATCCACTGTCATAGTATTACACACAGAATTGCTTCTAACCAAGGAACTCACCTCACAAACAAGGAAGTAAAACAAGGGATTCATGCTCATGGAATTCACTGGTCTTACTGTGTTCTTGTTCATCCTAGAGCAGCCGACTGAAGAGCCATGGAACGGCCTCTTGAAGATGCAGTTACAGGGCCAGCTAGGTATCAAGCCCTTTCAGGGTGGGGCAAGATTCTCAGAAGGCCATATATGCTTTGAATCAGTGTCCAATTTATGGTATTGTTTCTTTCATAGCCAGAATTCACAGGTTAGAAATCAAGGGGTGAAAATAACAGTGGCACTACTCACCATTTTACCTAGTGACTCACTAGCAAAATCCTTCTTGCTGTTCCTGGAACTTATGCTCTGCTAGCTTAGAGGTCTTAGTTCCAGAGGGAGAAATGCTTCTACCAGGAGACACAAAAATATGCCAAAACACTTAATCATAAGACCGCCACTCAGCTACTTTGGGCTCCTCATGCCTCTGAGTAAAAGGGCTAAGAAGGGAGTTACAGTATTGGAGGGGGTGATTAATTCAGACTATCAAGGGAAATTGGTCTATTACTGCACAATGGAGGTAAGGAGGAGAATATCTGAAATACAGGAGACAATTTAAGGTGTCTGTCTATATTATCATGCCTTATGATTAAGTTCAGTTGGAAAATACAACAAACCAATTTGTTTGCTGTATTTCAGAAATGAAAATTTGGGTCACCCTGTCACATAAAGAACCACACCCAGCTGAGGCGCTTATTAAAGGCAAAGGGAATACAGAATGGATATTAGAAGAAGGCAGTTAGAAATACAAACTACAACCATGTGGCCAGTTATAGACACAAGGACTGTAATTGCCATGAGTATTTTCTCCCTTTTTCGTCAGTAATACATTTATGTGTGTGTGTGTGTGTGTATATATATATATATATATGTATATATATGTGTGTGTGTGTGTGTCTATATAGACATTTATGAAACAGATATCTTTGTTTTCTTTTCTCTCTTATTCCCTTATGTAACATAAAATGTATGGAGTTTATATCAATATTTAAGTAATGTTAATTTTACATCATAGTATTTAAGTTATGGAATTTCAGGGAAAGCATAAATATCACACAAGGACTTTACCTCCTTTTATAGGGAGGGGATTAATGCATTTATGGGTGTACACAGAATGGTTGCATCATTACAGGAAGAACTATGACTTTGTTACTTTATTTAGAGATTAAGTATGATCTAAGCAGATGGATATGGGTGCCAAGTTGACAAAAGTTGGACTTGTTATCATTAATTTTAGATGTCAACTTGACTGAATTAAGTAATACCCAGAGAGCTGGTACAGCATTATTTCTGGATAATATAAGGGTGTCTTTTAGAGAAGATTGGCATTTGAATCAGCACACTGGCTAAGAAATATACCTTCACCCAATGTGGGCAGGCACCATCCAACCAACTAAACAAAAAGCCAGAAGGTGAATTGTGTACTTTCTTCTAGACCTAAGAAATCCTTCTTATTCTTCCTTTGGACATTAGAATTCCAGTTGTCCAGCTTTGGGGCTCAAAGACTTTCACCAGCAGGCCCTGCTCCCATGTTCTCAAGCCTTTAGCCTAAGACTGAGAGTTATACCATTGGGCTCCCTGGTTTAGAGGCTTCTGGGCTTTAAATATCCATGCTTCCAGCTCCCTGTTTCTTCATCTTACAGTTGGTCTATTGTGGGACTCTTCAGCCTCCATAACTGCATTTGCCAATTTCCCTAATAAATCCTCTCTCATCTATTTATCTGTCTAATCTCCTATTGGTTCTATTTCTCTGGAGAACCCTGATTAACACAGGGTGTTTCTTGGACATTTTAAATGCTGTGTTTTGAAGAATCTGAATTCTGTCATATTTCTCCAGTGTTGATTTTTGTGTGTTGGTTTGCTTTAGCAGACAACTAATTTGATTGAAATTAAAGTTCAATCTTTGTCTTTTAGAGAGAAGTTTAAAGAGAAGTTTAAAACTTAATGAAGTTTAAAGAGAAGTTTAAAACTGAATACAGTGATACTAGCTTTTGTTGTGCTGCTTATAGTATGCCTGTGCATGTGGGTCATGGGCCAGGCTGAGATTTGAAAATACATTACACACATAATTTTTAATTACTTTCCTTCTATTTGTCCTTTTAGGGATTCATCCGTCACTTTAAAGCAGAGTTTTTGTCTCTAATTCTGTTATCTGGTTCTCCAAGGTAAAAATACTGCAGAATTTTGTCAGAAATTTATTTGCCTTTCAGCCATGAAGACATAATATATAGGTAACTCATCCAGAGTCACCCCCTTCTTCAAAGGGCTGCTCCCTTCTACCAAGTGTTAACTCCCAATCAAAAATTTTAATTTTTTGACTATCTTTTTTGCCTTTTTTCATTATTATCTTGAACAGAATAAATAGTTCTTATCTGCACAAAGACTGGTACAATAGGAACATACTTTTCAGAATAAGAATGTGAGAGGAATGCTGAGACTATAAATTTTATGCTCAAAGTTTTCATTTTTCTTACAAATTTATTCTCACTGAATCACAAAAGTTTGGATAGAAAACATCATTGTCTGCTCAAAGCCTAACTGAAAATCAATTTTTATTTTTACAAAACCCTGAAATATTTTTAAAGACATTATTAAACCAAAACACTGATGTGGCTCAATTCAAGCCTGATTTTTTTATTAGACTTTGAAGCCAGGCGTGAATAAAATGTACTTCATTCATTAACTTATTCATTTAACTAATGTTTATTTAGTTCTACCTATGTGCAATATCTTTAACTGATAATAACACAAACACTACTAAAAATGGCATGGCCCCTAGAGTTTAACAGAGTAGAAAATGTTCAACAGGGTATAACACAAACAGAAAACTACAAGTATGATAAAAAATATGAAGGAGAGGGGCATGCTGATAAGTGTATATATTAGATAAAAATTATTTAGGAATGAAGGCTAGTGTAGGCTTTCCTGAAGAAATAACTATTGAAATAAGATCCAACAGAAAGTAAGATTCAACTAGACGAGGATTAGGCACAACAGATGAACAATAGGAGAAAATTTCAGACAAGATAAATAGCCTGGGATGTTCAAGATGGATCTGAAAAGAGGGCAGAGTAGCTGGAGCACAGAGCAGGAGGTGCAAGCATAATGCGAAATGAGGCTTGCAAGGTAGATAGAGACCAGATAATTCAGGGCCTTGAGGGTCAGGCTAAGAATTTCAGTCTTTGTCCTTTGATAAATGGATAACAACAAAGTCCTTGTTTCATATTCTCACAATTGGCTTTCCCGACATTCACAGGTGACAGTATGAGTTTTCTGTGCTTTTATATAATTAAGAATACACATTTTCCTTACATAAGTCATGTCTGTATTCTAACTAACAGGAATTTTAGTATCATGCATAACAAAATAGAAAAATGAACATAAAATTCTGCATGGAACACAAAACAAAAGGAAATAGCTGGGCTTTTGTTTCATTTAACAAAGTGTATAGATTGAATGTTGTTGGAAGTGTGGCTAATTGTTTGATGCAAGATGTTAAAAAATGAGGTCTTATTTCATTTGGATAATATTTAAAACAAAATTGATTAAGTACACATCTGAACACAATTATGGTATATCTAGAAGTACTTAGTGACTGCAATGTTTCTCAAAATCACAGTTCATGAATTCCCTGAGACAGGGCATGTCTTTACCCTGTTAGAAATATTATAAATTATGCTTGTCCTTTGGTGGGGTCTCAGAGGAGCAGTCATCATATAGTTATATATTGGCAAACTTGAATTTATTGCAAAGAGTATTTAGCAATATAACTCTTATTTTGAAATGCCAGCATAGATACATGAAAATTGCCAATATCTGTATTTAAGGACAAACAACAGAATTTATGATTGATAAATAGCTTAGCCCTTTAAGTTCATCCAGAGATTTCTTTTAAGTCTGAGGGAAATGTGTACTGTTGAGATGTACCAGATGAAATCCAGCTGTATTCTAATCCCATTTCAATCTATCATCATGAAAAATATTGACTATTTTTTTCCTTAGACATGCAGCTGTCAACTATTCAACTATGGGTCTAGATTTACATTATAGTTTTATTTCCTACCTATTCATTTTAATCTAAAACACTTGTTCCATGAAACAGCTTTTGCTGCCTGAAAAAGGAAAACAGGATGTGCGGTCTCATCAAACCTGTCAATGGATGTGGATGGGCACAGCAATAATATTTGCTAAATTCAAGGGGATATATTTCTATTTTGAAGAAATGGTAGAATCACTATACATCTACATGCATTATTAATATCATATTTATCATTTCAGTAAAAAGATTGCCACTACTTGCCAACAGTTACAAAAATTCACCACCTTTCCTCCACTCCAAAAGCCTATTACACATTCAAGTATTTGCAAAGTGTGTATGTGTCACTTAGAAAGCAAGCAAAGTAACAAAAGCCCCTGGGTGGTTCTACAGACTTCAAGATCTTTGAAAAATTTAAAGAGGTTTTATAAACAGTAGCAGATAATATTAGTAAAGATGGGCAAGACTGAAGTGATAATTAAATCCAAAATGTAATGGCTCAGGAGAATAAACATTTATTTCTTTTTCCTAAAACAGTCCTTAGTGAATGATCAGAGTATTGGAAGCACTCTCTTCTGCATGGTTTTGCAAGCATCCAGGCTCCTTCTATCGCATAGCTCAATTATCCCTTAGGATATCATTTTCAATTAGATCCAGTCAGTATTTGGGGAAAAAGAAAACATGGAAAAGACTTCTTAAAAGCTGTGGTCCAGAAGCAGCAAACACCACTTCCATTTATTCCTTATTGGGAAGAACTAATGATATGATCACCCATAACTGAAAGGAAACTGAGGAATTTAGCTCTTGCCTAACTATTCAACCTCAAGCTACAATTCTGTATTATGCAGAGGGAGAAAGGATTTTGGTAGATAGCTTTTTGTCTGAAACAGAAAAGTGTTTCTATTCCATTGCTGTGGATATAAGAGCGTATTCTGTTTGTTGTATCCTGTTTTGGTTTTTTGCTCGTTCATTTTTCTGGCCAACTAGTTACGTATGATGATCACTAAGGCTAAGCAACTTATACTAACAGCAGTTACTAGGATTAAATCTACAAAATACAAAATCAGCAAGTAGAGCTCAGAGAGCTAAACTGAAGAAGCCATTGTAACTCAGTATTTCATCCAAACCTAGAACAAAATAAAGGAGGAATTTCCATGAGTAAGAAGAAGGGTTCTTGGAGTTTGAGGTTAATCTGGCATTCTTAGTGATGATGTAATAAAACAACTTTTAATCATTTGATTGTATGTTTATAAAGCCCATTAATATTAGCATGTACTATGAGTGCTATTCTGCTTTCTGAATATTCCACGAATTTCCAGGAAAAAGGAATATACCTTAGGAAGTCATGCATATAATGAATTATCTTTACAAAGTCTATGAAAAATTTCATTTGACATGGCTGCAGCAGTGTATGTCTAACTAAAGTGGTTTTAAAATTAGAAATGTTTGCTGATGCCCGCCTGCCCTGCTCTTCTAATCTTTGCCTGCCAGCAGAAATACGCAGTAAATTTGCAGTAGATTATTTTTAAACAATAAACATCCTTATTGCATGAGCTAAAAAGAGAGGAGAGAGGGTTCATTTTGTCTCTGGACCTTGATTTTCCTCAGACAGAACTCTAAGCCATCTGCTCAGCCACACAAGCCAGTCTTTGACACGAGAAGATTTTTCTGCGGGTCCTAGTCCCCTAGAAAGCTGTAGATTTTGTTTGTCTTTTTCCTTTTACTATTTTTTTTCCTGTATTTCATTTGACTTTGTTCTACTTAAAATCTCAGTCTCCTCAAATATCAGTTCGGTCCCTTTCTTAAGGCTTCAGGGCAATGGCCAGAGAGACTTACCAATCTGCAGTCACAGTGTTCTATTGATGAGCACATTACAGATCTTTATTGAATGTCTTGTAGATTACATCCATGGTTCTAGTTCCCAGAATCTGTGTTCAAGGACTGGGCTCAGAGATAGCATTTCTTAATACCATAAACCATATATATGTGGAAAGGACTCCACTTTCATTTTCTGGAAGGCATCCCAGTATATACTTTAGGTTCTTGTGGTAGAGTTTTCTCTTGCCTTTATCTTGTGGTACTTGAAAGGTGATCATTGCACAGTGCTGGATGAAAAGAGCAAGTTGTTTAATAATTTATGATGTTTTTTATTGACCTATATCTATATACTTGCACATACTTAAAATAAACCTAAAAATTCATTAAGAAATTTATTTTTACTGTAATTTTTTTTTTCAGATCAGTATAGTCTACTAGCATCCTCCACATAGTTTAAAGAATAAGGGTTGTTTTTAGGAATAAATGAGAAATGTGTAAATCATAAAGTACTGCACTTGCATTGTTACTACTATTGAAATATACAGAACATTGATTGAGACTTAAATTTACGTGTTTTTTTTTTGTTTGTTTGTTTTTTTGTTTTTGTTTTTTTTTTTTTTTTGGAGACAGAGTCGCCCTCTGTCACCCAGGCTGGAGTGCAGTGGCGTGATCTCATCTAACTGCAACCTCCGTCTCCCAGGTTCAAGCAATTCTCCTGCCTCAGCCTCCTGAGTGGCTGGGACTACAGGCACGCACCACCATGCCCAGCTAATTTTTTGTATTTTTAGTAGCGACAGGGCTTCACCACGTTGGCCAGGATGGTCTTGATCTGCTGATCGTGTGATCCGCCCACCTCCATCTCCCAGAGTCCTGGGATTACAGGCATGAGCCACAGCACCCGGCCAGATTTAGTTTTTTGCTTATGATATTTTATTCCTCTATATAAACCAAAATAGGCTGTGGCTGTTATTTCTTCTCTGAAGTACAGCAGAACTTAGTGGTGTAAAGTGTCATCATAACCCAAGTTCAAACCCAAATTCTGCTGCTTACTGACTATAGGATCTTGTACAAATTACTTGACTTCTCTTTTTTCTCACTTTTCTTATTCGCAAAATTCAGGTATAATAATAACACCACAAGACTCCTGAATTAAATGTAGATTAAATATGTTAATACATATAAGGACCTCAGAACTATGCCAGGAACATACTAAATTTTATATATTATCATTCTTTGTTTCTTTGACTAAAGTAACTATTCTGTAAAAGCTATGAACCCTAAACAGAAGTGTCACATTTGCAGAAGTGTCACAGCATGTAAAACCAGTGAACATTTATAAGAACAGATATTAATTTTATATGATGAAATCAAACTAACTCACCGTTACTGACACAGTGAAAACATGTGAACGCCTGAGAAGAGACAGGAGTGGACATATACTATGGATAAGGGACCTCTCACCCACAGCTTTGTTTTTGCCTAAATATTGTTACCACTAACCTTCTTGTTGGTTCCAAGGTCCAGCACTTTGTCTGGAGCTCAAGAATGATTTGAGGAAACTATAAGCCATGTTTCTGCTCAACTCTGCAAAAAGAAAAGTCTAGCTGTTCAAGTTACCATATGATTGTTTTAGTCATTCTAATGATGGGGCTTTAAAAAAATATATTAATCCTATTTAGCCATAAACAATGGCCCATCAAATGACTGGATATCAACTTTAATGCATCCTTTCAAAGCAAAACATTACTGGTGAAAATATAAAAATCCATCACTTTTCATCTTCTTGGTATTAGAAAAGTATTAGAATTATAGATGTACGTGGAATTTGGAGCAATTAAGTCAGGTAGAGTTGATGCAAAATTCTCTTTATATAAAATCTAAAATATTTTATAGATAATAACAATTGAACCAGATATAATGATAATATAGCCTATGACCCAGGCTCCAAGATTTTCTATAAAAATAAGATATGCTTTTATCTTTCGTATTCTAACACTCAACACTACTAGATTTCGCTTATAAGTACTTTTTGTGAAACAAACTTCCATTCATACAAGGTTTTCCTTAACGAAGTAAACATTTCTATGAACTTTTTCTTGTTTCATTGCTGGCTATGTGCGTGAGTCCCAGGATAATTAGATCTCTAAGGACAACATTTACCATAAAAGCCAGTGAACAAAACAAACAGAAGCAAAGGGACTCTGATGAAATAGACAAAGTGCAAAACATAAAAAGCAACTAGTTTAAAAAAAAATCTTCTGAGAATGGAATCAAATATAAGATGCTATAAAAATAAAAACCAGAAAATTAAAAAAAACTCTTAGATATTGAAAAAAAAGGTAAATTTAAAAACTGAAACTTCAATGTAAGGTGGAAAAGTAAAAGGAATAAAAAAAAATTCTTTCAAGTGAAAGCCAACAAAGAAAAAGAGAACAATAGGAGAGAAAACATAGGAAATGACAAAATCAATGTAGATACTCAAACATCCAACTTGACTATAATTTTGTAAAAAAGAAAGGCAAATGATGAAAAAGTTACTATAGGAAAATGTAATGATTATCTTCAGCATTAAATTGCACAAATTCCTAGACATATAAATGCTCAGTATAATTAATATGAAAAACCTCATCATGGCATATAATTATTAAAATGAGAGAAAGATATCTAAAAAGCTTGAATAATGAGAAAAAAGTAGAGGGGTCAAACACATATAAATTTTGCACATAAGAATCCTTGCAAGATGAAAATTTCATTCAGTCCATCATACAGCGTAGGGGTTGAAGGTGATTTTTTTTGTGTGTGTGAGATGGAGTCTCGCTCTGTCGCCCAGGCTGGAGTGCAGTGGCGCTATCTCGGCTTACTGCAACCTCCGCCTCCCGCGTTCATGCCATTCTCCTGCCTTAGCCTCCCAAGTAGCTGGGACTACAGGCGCCCACCACCACGCTCGGCTAATTTTTTGTATTTTTAGTAGAGATGGGGTTTCAACGTGTTAGCCAGGATGGTCTCGATCTCCTGACCTCGTGATCCGCCCATCTCCAGCCTCCCAAAGTGCTGGGATTACAGGCGTGAGCCACCGCACCTGGCTCGAAGGTGATTTTAAAAGTGCATTTACTAGGACTTAAGCAGAAATCACAAATACTTAGTGTGCACTGTTTTATTTTCAATTCCTGTTTCACATGGTAAAAAGGAGTGAATGAATTCTCTGATGAAGTATGAACACGAAAATTGTGGTTGTAAGCTTTTATTCATTCATTCAACCCAACATGCCTACCCCATGTCAGGTATTGAGTTGAATGCAGAGAGAGAAATAACTTATATAAGACATATCCTGCACCTTAAAGATCATAAAACTTCATCAGAAATTCAGATTGGAAAATGAGGTGCCATGAAAGTTAGGGGATCTGTATACAGAATAAAATGTAGCCTCTGTTGGGTGGTAATGGTGGGAATAAGGACTGGGGATTTACATCTACTCTATGTTTTCATGAGAAGAGACAACAGTAAAGGTGACATTTTTGTCTCTATTTCCTTAATTACTCTCTGCTCTCTGAATTCCCTGGGAAAAATGAATGAGTTATCTGATTAAGTTCAACAGCTAAAATTGAGGTTGCTTGGCCAAGCCTGACTTCTTTTTCTCTTTCGAGTGTTTCTACTTGCACAGAATGTACTCAGTGCTGCTACTCCATGCTGTAAACTTTACATGGGACAGACTGAACGTTTGTGATGAGGGCAGATCATTAGAGCACGGAGGCTTGGTGGTTGAGTAAGCCTCATTCCAGAAATGGGTAAGACTAATTCTGGGGCTTAGATTTAGAAAGCCCATTAGACTATGTACCTAAGCCATGTTTTCCCACAGCTCAGTCATTTGACCTACATCAGTGTTTCAGTTGCTGATTGCTGAATAACAAATCCATCCAATATTTAGTGGCTTAAAACAAAACAAATTCATTTTTTTTCTCATTAATTCTGCAGGTTGACTAGACTCAGTAGTTCTTTTGATCCATGTGGTTTAGCTAAGGTCACTCATGTAAGCTGTATTAAAAGCAAGTTAAAAGCCAGTTAGTTACTTGACCCGTTGTTCATGGGAGATTATCATAAAGGGTCTAGGCCATCGGGGTGGCTCACGCCTGTAATCCCAGCACTTTGGGAGGCCGAGGTGGGTGGATCACGGGGTCAGGAGATCGAGACCATCCTGGCTACCATGGTAAAACCCTGTCTCTACTAAAAATACAAAAAATTAGCCGGGCGTGGTGGTGACCGCCTGTAGTCTCAGCTACTGGGGAGGCTGAGGCAGAAGAATGGCGTGAACCCGGGAGGCGGAGCTTGCAGTGAGCCGAGATCACGCCACTGCACTCCACCCTGGGCAACAGAACGAGGCTCAGTCTCAAAAAAAAAAAAAAAAAAAAAAAGAGTCTACTGCAATTTACTTAACCCATTTGTCTACCTCTCAATTGGTTCTGAATTTGGATGAGGAAGAGGGTTACCATACATTAGAGTCCTGAAATAACAGCATTCTTTCCAACCTTCTTTCTTTCATTGATGTTATTTTTTCTTATAAATTTTTATTTCTCAGCAATACTTTCTTCCAAATTGTATTGATTACTTAGACCTTATCTTCTGCATTTCTTGTATATATGTTTCTAATTTAAACACATCTCACCTACTTCAGAATTTAGTGGCTATCTTTGTTTTTAGCAAATTATATGCAAATTGTAGATGATTATTTTTACTTTCATGGTGGCTATCCTTTCCACAATAAGCAAACATTCTCTCTCATTAAGAAATCACTTTCCCATCCAATATTTATGATTTATTTCCCTATTATTTCTATAGTTGTTATGTTTTAAACCTGTTAATTCCACGTTGTGATTATATGTGAAAAATTTAACAAAGCTCCTTGTAGTTTACCCAGGTGTGGTATATCACATTTCAAGTTAGTATAATACCTCTGGTACACTGCTTTTCCTCAGAATCACTTATAAAAACATATGTAATACAATACTGATGAGTATGATTTTGTTCGAATTGAGGATAATAGCTCGAAATGCAGAAAAAAAGAATTCTCAGAAGATCAGGAAGCTAGAAGAAAGTGGATAAAAATCTCAAAAACTTTGAGTAGCAATTAATTTCAATCTCAAGTTATATACCTGGATGAAATAAATAATCCATTAATTTTGGGAGTATTTTAGTGAAAAATTCTGATAATTTTTTAAATAAATAAGTCTCCAAAAAATTCACTCGTGTGATCTCTATCTTAGCATGGTGAGATCCACAAAAATTAGTGCTTACACCTGGAAAAAGAAAAATATGGGATCTTGAAAACAGAGCAACTGACAAAGGAAAATAATAATGAGAATTTTCAGAGTAAGAGTAAAAGAAATAGAAGAACTGAAACATCCTTGGATGCATTCTTAGTCCAGAGTTGACCAAGAAAAGGGAAGGCTTGGTAGGAGGAAAACAAATGCATGCAGCAGGAAGACAAATGGGTGGTATTTTCTTTTTTAGAATACTTTATTGAGAGGTTGTTTCAGGCTATTGGACAGTGTGAAGAATTGGCAATAGGTACGTAGAGAAATGAGCATATAAATAAGAGCCAATTGATTCTAGGGGAAGTGAAAAAGTTGCAGAACTAAATAAATGTAAATGTAAACATAATGCATTACTTGACTCAAAGAAAATAATTCTTATATGGTCGTAACTTTGTAATAGCTAAAAATTGATTTAACCAAAAATTGTAATGTAACTACATTATACAGAAGCAGGGAAAGAGAAAAGGGGAGATCTGCTAGTGGTAGTGTATGTGAGCTGATTTAAACATGATAGTAAGTCAGGAGATTATGCTTACCAATGTTAAATAAAATGGCAAGATAAGCACTACTATTAAAAAATGAAAGTAAATACCACATGAAATAAATAATAAACAGGACTTGAGTTTAGTTGGCTATTTCACTACTATTCTATTAGAATGTTTTTTAACTTTTAAAACATGCTCATGTTTTAGCTGAAAAAATACTTTAACATTTTTAAAAGTCATGTACTTTCTTCCTCATAATTAGTTTAAAAGAAAACCAACCTCCCATTACTCAATGGTTGCAAGCAGGACATCGTGAAACTCGCTTCCTATTTTGAGTTTTAGTTAATTATTTGCTCTATGGGAATAAGTGAACATTAGTGGATTCTCCAAATGTGGTTAAGAAACCATGCGGAGAGCCATTGCCTTGACAGGAGGGATAAAGAATGAAGGCAAATCACTTCCAAGTTGTCAGAGACCTGAATTAGAACTGGAACAGATTTTTGAAGTACGAGCCAAGGAGCTTCATGGTTTTCTAGCCTGGAGTTGACAGATCAGAGTGAGCGGCCAGTTCCCACTTAGTTCCATCAGTGGATTTTGCTTATGGTCAGGGCAGAAAAAAGGGATACTTAGATATGAATATTTTCTTTTATAGATAGATGATAGATAGATAGATAGATAGATGATAGAAATTGTATACACTTAAGGTGAAAAATGATGTTTTATTATACATATACATAGTGAAACAGTTGTTACAGTCAAGCAAATTGACATATATCATTATATTACATAGTTACCCTTTTCAATATATTTTGAAGTTAATATATTCAATATATAGGTCAGCAAACTATAGCCTGTTAACCATATCTGGCCTACTGTCTATTTATGTATGACTATTTATATTTTCAAGTGGTTGAAAAAAATCAGAAGAAGAATGGTTTATAATACATGATAATAATACGAAATTCAAACTCCACTATCCACAGATAAAGTTTTATTGGAAAACAAACATATCCAGTGATTTATGATTTACATATTGTCTTTGGCTGGTTTTGTGCTTAATAGCACACTCGAGCAGTTGCAAAGAAACTGTAAGGTTCACAAAGTCTAAAAGATGACTATATGACCCTGCACACACACACACACACACACACACACACACACACAAATGTGCTGAGTCCCCTGCACTATAGGAAAATATAAGTCATCGAAATATTTAACTTTTTGATCTCTTCCATACATATTCCAAGAGAGGAATCCAGCCATTGTGATGAACATGGAAAGCACTGAACAGGATGTAGAAGTTAGTTACAAGCATTAAATCTTAGCCACTTTAAGCTGTTTATTGTCGTTTGATAAGTCTAATCAGTATGTGTGGACAGAGCTTGCCCCACACCAGATATCGAGTTAGATTTTGGAGATCATGAAAGCTTCTTTTTGGGCCAACTCAGCTGCCCAGGATCCGGGGTTATTTGCGAACTGGCAGGCGTGAAGTGCCTCTGTAGACTGCAAAAAATTTATTTAGGTGAAGAGGAAGAAGAACTTGAGAAGTAAGCTTATAAACTGCCACTTTATTGGAATGAATATCTTCTGCAACTGGTCATTGTGCAACTAGTTTTTATTAGTTTCTTCCAAATGGAGAAAGCAACTATTCAGTTGGGGACTCAAACTATGCAAACAAGAATTTAAGTGAGGAAAAGTCTCATGAAATAGTAAAAATCATGATGTGAGCCTTAGATACTCCGAATATGTCTGGCCAAAGGGTGAGATAATACAAACTGAAGCAACACTAGCACAAAATTTCTCTTCCCAAGGAGAAAGACTCATGATGAAAGTTGCAAACGGGTAGTTTTCATGGGTTCAAACATTTTGAATGGTTCCTGATAAGAATCCTTTCAGATTATCATAACCTTTCATATGACATACTTTTTTAAAAAAATTGGTTATTTCTAACTCTAGCTGGCTTCCTATTCTTCTTCACAGCCCTGAAAGAAAACCGAGAGACAACCCACTAGGATATCTTCTCCATCCTGCAGAAATTGTACGTAAACCAAATTAGAAATAAATGTTAGAGGATCGCTGATTAAGAATTGTTGCCAGAAGCCTGAATAAACACTTTCTAATCTGCCTCCTCCTATGAACGTCTGTTGGATATTTCAAAACTAACTCGTTTCTCAATAAACCACAGGTAGTGCCTAGCAGAGGGTGTCTCACATGAAATAATCACACAGCTAGCATTGCCTCCAGCAATATAGCACACAGATTTTGTGCCTCTTCCCCCACAACCAAGTTCAGTAGTCATAAATCTGGAGATTATGACACTTACAGAACAAAACTTAATAAGGAAACCACAAGATGTTTGACAGAAAAGCAAACACATACACATACACACACACACACACACACACATTGATTTGTTCATTCATTCAACAAATGTTTTTTGAGCATGTACTATGTTCAAGGTCATGTAACAATTTAAAGGTGGAAGCACATCTCTTGGGTGCCATTATAATTAAAAAGTGCTATTGGCACATATGAGGAAGAAAGTCTGTTGACTTCTCATATTGTGGACCTGACTGTCTCCAGGGTTGTCAATGCTGCAACCACTTTTCCTGACAGTAACTATGAAGACAAATTATGTAGTAAGAGAAAATGAAATTTAAGGAAAGATGTACAATAAAATGTAAAGAATTAAACTTAAAAATTCTAAAGGTAAGAAACAAAGATCTCATTTGACATTACAAGCTGTGAATATAAATTTATCAGGAAGAGTTTTTGAAAATGTTTCATAGCATGAAAAATGAAGATGTATGTAGACAATCTCCAAATTAAAATGGTTCCACTTAAAAATGTATTGACTTTATGATGGTGTGAAAGCAATACTCATTCTGTAGACTGTACTTTGAGTACCCATATAACCATTCTGTTTTTCACTTTCAGCACAGTCTTCAGTGAATTACCTAGACTGTCCAACACTTTTATATAAAATAGACTTTATGTTAGATTGTTTTGCCCACTGTAGGCTAATGTAAGTGTTCTGAGTATCTTTAAGGTAGGTTAGGCTAAGCTATGATGTTTGGTAGGTTAGGTGTATTCAATACATTTTCAACTTTTATCAGGATGTAACCCCATTATAAGGCAAGAAGCACCACTATTATACTTGTGGGATAAATAAAATTAGTATGTTTGTAAAAATTACAATGATTATACTTTTTGTATTTTTCTTATCCTTTCAAAAATCACTTTGAAATCTAAATGACTGAGATTATTGTGTCTAACTTCATATTATATTCCTATCAATAGCTATGAATTTCAAATATTTTTACCTGTCTGTATATCTGTTTCCCATCAATACAATTTTAATTTCATTGCAGTTTGCTCCTTTAATCATTTTAATGGAAGCTCAAATGTTCTTTTCAATGTTAATTTTAATTTAAATTTGTTTAACACAAATACTGTACTACCTAATTTTTAAGGTTTGCATTTGTCAAAATTACGTTGATTTTCTAAATTTTAAATTTTAGATCCCTTAGTTTTTGATGTGATAGCTATAGTAAAATTTATGTATGCTTCTAAAGTGAGTCTTTATTTAATAAATAGATTTATCATATACAATGTAAAATGTACTTGTTTAGTATTTTATTTTCTTTTTTTCCCCTCAACTTTTATTTTAGATTCGGTTGTATATGTGCAGATTTGTTTCCTAGGTAAATTGTGTGATGCTGAGATTTGTGATATTAATTATCCTATCATCCAGATACTGAGAAGAGTATCCAATAGTTTTTCAACAGCTTCCCCCACTCTGGCCGAGTAGTCCCTCATTTCTTTTGCTGCCATTTTTGGGTCCATGAGTACCCAATGTTTAAGTCCCACTTATAATTAAAACATGCAGTATTTGGTTTTCTCTTCCTCCATTAATTAACTTAGAATCATGATCTTCAGCTGAATCCATGGTGCTGTAATAGATGTAATATCATTCCTGTTTATGGCTGCATAGTATCTCACGGTGTATATGTACCACATTTTTATCCAGTCCACCACTGACAGGAACCAAGTTTGATTTTATGTCTCTGTTATTGTGAGTAGTGATACAATGAACGTGTTAGTGCATGTTTATTTTTGGTAGAATGATTTGTTCTCTTTTGGATATATGCCCAGTAATGGGATTGCTGGGTTGAATGGTAGTTTGTTTCATGTTCTTTGAGAAATCTCCAAACAGCTTTCCACAGTGGCTGAATTATTTACATTCAAACCAACAGTGTATATGCTTTCCCACTTCTCTGCAGTCTTGCTAGCATCTGTTGGGTTTTTTTTTTTTTTGAATTTTTAATAATAGCCATTCTGACCTGTGTGAGATGATATCTCATTGTAATTCTGATTTGCATCAAAACTACTGACTTAAAGTAAGGGGATGGAAAATGATCCACCATGCCAACAGAAAACAAACAAACAAAAAGAGCAGAAGTCATTGTTTATATATCAGATAAAACAGACTTTAAACCAACAACAATCAGGAAAGACAAAGAGGGGCATTATATAATGATAAAGGGTTCAATTCAACAAGAACACTTAATTATCATAAATAAATATGCACCCAACACTATAAAGCACCTAGATTCATAAAATAAGCTCTTCTTGACATACAAAAAGACTTAGACAGCTACACAATAATAGTGGTGAACTTCATTATTCTGTTGAAAACATTAGACAAATTGTTGACGCAGAAAACTAACAAGGTAATTATGAAATTAAATTCAACATTTGACCAATTGAACCTAAAAGATATCTACACAATATTCCCCTCAACAAAAAACCACAGCATATTTATTCTTCTCATCCACACACACAACATATTCTATGATCCACCACATACTTGATCATAAAGAAATTCTCAATAATTTTTTTAAAGTAAATCAAACCAATCACACTATAGGACCACAATGCTATAAAAATAGAAATCGATACTAAGAAAATCTCTCAAAACTACACAAAAACATAAATAAAACAAACTGCTCCTGAATAACTCTTAGGCGAACCAAAAAAAATAAGGCCAGAAATAAAAAAAAAAAAAAGAAATTGATGAAAATACAGACCAATTTACCAAAATCTTTGTGTTGCAAATAAAGTAGTGTTGAGAGGAAAGTTTATAGTCCTTAATGCCTTCATCAAGAGGTTAGAAAGATCTCAAATTAGTAATCTAACATCACATCTAGGGGAACTAGAAAGAAAAAAATACAATCCAAAAGTTAGCAGAAGAAAAGAATGAACCAAAATCAGAGAAGAACTGAATGAAATTTTGCTCATTTTTAAATTGGATTGTTTCTTGCTTGTTAAGTTGTGTAAATTCCTTATAGATTCTGGGTATTAGATGTTTCTCTGTTTACTCTGTTGATTATTTATTTTGGTGTACAGAAGCTCTTTAGTTTAATTAGATCTACTTGTCCTTTTCTGTTATTGCAATTGCTTTTGATAACTTCATCATAAGTTATTTCCCAAGGTTGATGTCCAGAATGGTGATTCCTCGATTTTCTTCTAGAATTCTTATATTTTGAGATCTTACATTTAAATATTTAATTTATATTGAGTTAATTTTTGTATATGGTGAGAGTCCAGTTTCATTGTTCTGTATGTAGCTAGCCAGTTATCCCAGTGCCATGTATTAAATAGGGGGTCTTTCCCCATTACTTATTTTTGTCAACTTTGTCAAAGATCAGGTGGCTGTCATTGTATGGCTTTGTTTCTGTGTTCTCTAACTTGTTCCATTGGTCCATGTATCTGTTTTCCTTTTGTTTGTTTGCTTGTTTTAACCAGTACCATTCTGTTTTGGTTACTGTAGCCTTATAGTATAGTTTGAAGTTGGGTAATGTGATGCCTCCAGCTTCATACTTTTGTTTAACATTGCTTTGGCTACTTATTGATTTGTGTACATTGAACCAACCCTACATCTCAGGAATAAAGCCAACTTGATTGTGGTGAATTAACTTTTTGATAGGCTGTTGGATTCAGTTTGCAAGTATTTTGTTGAAGATTTTTGCATCTATGTTCTTTAAGGATAATAGCCTTTAGTGTTCCTTTTCATTTGTGTCTGCAAACTTCAGTGGCAGACTGATGCTGGCTTTGTAGAATGAGTTAGAGAGAAATCCCTCCTCTTTGATGTTTTAGAAAAGTTTCAGTAGAATTGGTACCAGCTCTTCTTTGTACATCTGGTAGAATTTGTCTGTGAATCCATCTGGTCTGGGACTTTTTTTGGCTAATAGGTATTTATATTATGGATTCAATTTCAGTACTCAATATTGGCCTATTCAGAGTTTCAATTTCTTCTTGATTCAATCTTGGGAGATTGTGTGTTTCCAGAAATTCATTTCCTCTAGATTTTATAGTTTGTGTGTATCGAGTCATTCATAATAGTCTTAAAGGATCTTTTGTATTTCTGTGCGATTGGTTGCAGTGTCATCATTGTTATATCTGATCATGCTTATTTGGATTTTCTCTTTTTTAATCTGTTAATTTAGCTGGTGGTCCATTGATCTTGATTATATTTTCAGTGAATCAACTTTTGGTTTCATTGATTCTTTGTATGGATTTTGGGGTCTCAATTCCATTCACTTCCGCTCCCAATATAGTTATTTATTTTCTTCTGCTAGCTGTGGGGTTAGTTTGTTCTTGTTTATCTAGTTCCTCTAGGTGTGATATTACATTGTTAGTTTGAGATCTCTCTAACTTTTTAAGGTGGGTATTTTTAGCACTATAAGCTTTCCTGTTAACACTGCCTTTACTGTATCCCAGAGAATCTAGTATGCCGTGTCTCTGTTTTTACTTTTTTAAAGATTTGAAAAATTTCTTTCTGAAGGCCATTGTTTCTCAAAAGTCATCAATGGGTAAGTTGTTTAATTTTCATGAAATTGTGTGGTTTTGAGAAATCTTTCTGGTATTTATTTTTCTTTTTATTCCACTGTGGTCCAAGGGTATGATTGGTATGATTTTGATTTTTTAAACATTTATTGAGGTTTTCTTTCTTTTTTCTTTTCTTTTTCTTTTTTTTTTTTTTTTTTGAGATGCAGTTTCACTCTTGTTGCCCAGGCTGGAGTGCAGTGGCGCCATCTTGGCTCACCACAACCTCTGCCGCCCAGGTTCAAGTGATTCTCCTGCCTCAGCCCTCTAGTAGCTGGGATTACAGGCATGCGCCACCATACCCAGCTAATTTTTTATTTTTCGTAGAGACAGGGTGTCTCCATGTTGGTCAGGCTGGTCGCGAACTCCCAATCTCAGGTGATCTGCCTACCTCGGCCTCCCAAAGTGCTGGGATTACAGGTGTGAGCCGCCGTGCCCGGCCTACCTTAGAAGTTTATTTGTGGTGATTTACAAACTTGTCCTGTATCTCTTTGAGCTTCCCTACAATCCATGCTTTGGATTTTTTATCTGCCATTTCTGAGTTTCCATTTTGGCTGGGGACTATTGCTAGAGAGCTACTGTGATCCTTCGGTGATGTCACTATATTCAAGTTTTTCATGGTGCCAGAATTCTTGCACTGGTTCCTTTCTAATTAGGTAACACTAGGATTTGTAATTGATCTAATTATTTTTTGAGGTAGAATTTTTTCATTTCCTTTCTTTCCCTATAATATTTTTGTATTTTTTTCCCTTTCTCTTCCCCCTCCCACTGGGGATGTGTGTTTGACTGTAGAGAATGCTGGGTAGGGTCTTTTGGCTTTGCTTCTATAGCCCTATGCACTTCTGTCAGCAGATTTTATATTGAGGTGTGCAGTTCAAGTTACAAGCTGGTAGATGTATCTTACAGGTAAGAGCCAGCTGTAGCCAATGCATCTCAGTATATACTTGATCTTTGTTTACTGGAGGAAGCTCTCTGTTGCCTCAGGCAATGGGCTGCTGACTCATGCAGTGCACAGTGTTCTGATCTCCCCACTCAGCCCCAGGGAGGCAGGGGCCACAATGCTCAGGGCTGGACTGGGCAAGTCTGCCTACAGGTCCCTTAATGGCAGGCACAAGCACCAGCACCATGACAGCATCCAGTGGGTAGCCATCGAGCACACAAAGGTGTACCTAGCTATGGAGGTAGGAGACCTCATTGGCCCCAAGTTATCTGCATGGGAATGACAGGCAGCCTAAACTGCTAATCCAGTAGAGTGGATGCTCCAGATGACTGGAGATCTGCCTGGGTATGCAGCAGAAACAGCCCCCCTGCACCAAGTTCTTTGCATAGGATGATGGGCCTTCTCAGGCTGACAAATCAAGTGAGAGGGTGCCCTGAATGACTGGAGACCTCCCTAGGCATGGAGCAGAGAGAGCCTGGCTACACCATGATCTATGTCCAGGAAGGGTGGGGCAGCTTGGGCTTCTGCTACAGGCAAGCAGATTCTCCAGCTGCCTGGATTACTGCCTGGGAATGGAACAGAGAGGGCCCTGCTGTACCTTGACTTCAGGGGAGCAAGGTAGGGCACCCAGTAATGACACACACAGACCAGTTCCAGATTGCCACACTGGCCCTGGGTGCAAGTCTCATCATCCAGGAGAAACTGTAGCTATAGCAGCTCTCCTCTTGCCCCAGGATTGTGATGGGAAAGAGCACAATTCCAGCATCTACTGCTGAGGCACCTTCCACAGTTGGAGCTGTGGAAGTCTCTAACCTACTCCAGAGCAAGCACTCCAATATCTGGCCCAAGACTAAAGTACTTGTGTGGCCACACTGCCAGGTTGCCAAAGAATAGTTGATTTTGTATGTGCCTGGATTAAAAATGGCATTCTGATCTTGGTCTCAGGTCTGAAAAAATGACTTCAGCTTTTCCAGGTGTCTTTCAATCTCAGAATATTCAAGACTCTCCCCAAGATAGCTCTGGGACTTGGGAGAAACAAAGTGCTGTCCCTCGACGTGGGTTGCTCAGATCTCCAGTGGAAAGGTAAGTCATAGAGGGGGGTTCTCTGCCTCTCTCATACACTGGGGCTTCACTGTTTTATTGGCTGGACACCACTATGGGGCTGTTTGCTGGCTATGTTTCTCCCTTGGACCTGGGACATCCTTCATAGTTTCAGTGGATTCTCATTTTCCTTCTTGAATTAATGCCGAAAGAGTTTATCTTTATGCACTATCTTGCTATTTCCAAATGGTTGATGCAGACTAAAGGCATCTAATCTGCCATCTTGGAGAAAAATTACATTTGATTCTCCACATTTCTTGTTTCCTGAATATTTTTCATATACATATATGTATGTGTGTGTGTGTGTGTGTATATGTGTATATATATATTGTATATGTTTCATGTTACTAGAGTTCATTTTTTTCTTTGCAACTTAAGAAGTATAAAGCCTGTTTTCTAGTAAAAGGGTGGATATACATGTACAACAATTATAATTATTTTTAAACTTTACATGTCCAGGAAAAAATTATTAATTGACATTCTTAAATGAAACAGGAAAACATATTCCGTACTCTTCTTATCTCTCTTTCTTCTCCAGCCTCACCCACCCAAAATATTTTCTTTTTTTTTTTTTTGGCATAGTCTTGGTCTTACCTTTTAGGCTATGAATGTTAATTCAATTTTTATCCTTATAAAAATTATTCTGCTTGAAAATATAACATTGTAAATTATTTAAATTGGCTCTACCCTAAATTTATTTTTTCTGTATTATTTCACCATTTATATTTTTATTTTTGAGATACAGCTATTTGTTGACTGGCTTAACTTTTTAAATTAGCTTTTTAGGAATCACAACTTTTCCTTGAATCACAGCAATTCAAATTTTTGCTTCCATTTTCTGCAGTCAGGAATAATAACTTGCATCAGTATAAAATTAACTGATGACAATCTTTACTTCCTCAAAAATCTGCAGATTCTGTTCCTTTGGCCTCTGTATCTAACACTTCTAAGGAAAAGGCTGAGGGAAGCCTTGCCTTTATGTTTTGCTTTGTAGGTTACCAGATTTTTGTGAAATTATCTTTTGAATTTGTATAAGTTTTTTTAAACTTTAAGTTCAATAACGTTACCAAGTAAAATCGATCTATCTATCATCTATCCAACGATCATTTTCATTTAAATATTTTCTCTTTACTTTTTGCTTTTTTCAGAACAAATTGAGTACTTTTTGGCTCATTAAATTTAGAAAAGGTTACTTAAAATTTGGATTTATTGTTATTTCTCTTGGTTAGGAACACCAATAATCTCTATGTTGGATTTCCATCGGTTATATTGCAAAATTATAATGTTGCTTTTATGTCATTAATTATATGTGTTTTTCTCTAAATTTTCTGAGATTTTTCTTAAATAGGTTCTAAATGTCTGTGAATTTTTTTGATGTTTTAATTCTGCCCTTGTTGTTCCTGATCATATTTGCAAATTGTACATTAGCATTCCCATCTTAATTTTTTTCATAAATTCTATTTTCATCACATTCTATTACTTTATCATTCTTTGTTTTAAAGAGTACTTTTTTTTAGAATTCCTGAGAGAAGGTGTAGTGTTAGCCAGCAATTTTATTTCACGTCTGTTGTAATGCATCCAACATGCTATTCATCTCTATGCTGTCTGACATTTTCCTTTTCCCCTCTTTCTCTGCTGCACTTGCAAAGGAACTATGTATGATTTATTTTGTTTCTGTTTTTCTATCAGTTTGTTCATCTTTGAAGAGATGCAGCTCTGTCTGTGTCTACCTTTTACAAAAATGTGACTGGAATTGCTTTTATTCTCCCTATTTTTGTGAACAATTTTTGATATTTCTCATAGAAAGTATAAGTGGGTAATCTCAGGGTTGATATTTTACATTTTGTATTAAACACTTGGATTGTTTTGAGTTTGGGGGAGAAAAGGAAATTGGGTTGAGAAGAAAACCAGCACACTTGAAAACTGCATTCTAAAATAATCATCTCTATCTTTATCTCAATTTTATGAAAATCTCTTACGGTTATGCCTGCAAGTTGTGAGAACCTTTAGCAGACTTAACCTTTTTCTTTTTTTTTTAAATTATACTTTAAGTTCTGAGATATATGTGCAGAACGTGCAGGTTTGTTACATAGGTATACACGTGCCATGGTGGTTTCTTGCCCCCATCAACCCATCATCTACATTAGGTATTTCTCCTAATGCTATCCCTCCCCTAACAGCCCACCCCTAAATAGGCCCCAGTGTGTGATGTTCTCCTCCCTGTGTCCATGTGTTCTCATGTTCAACTCCCACTTATAAGTGAGAAAATGTGGTGTTTGGTTTTCTGTTCCTGTGTCAGTTTGCTAAAAATTATGGTTTCCAGCTTCACCCATCTCCCTGGAAAGGACATGAACTCATCTTTTTTTATGGCTACGTAGTATTCCACGGTGTATATATGCCACATTTTCTTTATCCAATCTATCATTGATGGGCATTTGTGTTGGCTCCAAGTCTTTGCTATTGTGAACACTGCTGCAATAAGCATACGTGTGCATGTTCTTTTATAGTAGAATAATTTATAATATTTTGGGTATATACCCAGTAATGGGATTGCTGGGTCGAGTGGTATTTCTGGTTCTAGATCCTTGAGGAATCACTACATTATCTTCCACAATGGTTGAGCTAATTTACACTCCCATCAACAGTGTAAAAGCATTCCTATTTATCCACATCCTCTCCAGCATCTGTTGTTTCCTGACTTTTTAATGATCACCATTCTAATTGGCGTGAGATGGTATCTCACTGTGGTTTTGATTTGCATTAGTCTAATGACCAGTGATGATGAGCTTTTTTATATACATTTGTTGGCCGCACAAATGTCTTCTTTTGAGAAGTGTCTGTTCATATCCTTTGCCTACTTTTTGATGATTATTTTTTCTTGCAAATTTGTTTAAGTTCTTTGTAGATTCTGGATATTAGCCCATTGTCAGATGGATACCTTACAAAAATTTTCTCCCATTCTGTAGGTTGCCTGTTCACCCTGGTGATAGTTTCTTTTGCTGTGCAGGAGCTCTTTAGTTTAGTTAGATCTTATTTGTCAATTTTGGCTTTTGTTGCCATTGCTTTTGGTGTTTTAGACAAATGAATAAATTCCTAGACACATACACCCTCCCAAGACAAAACCAGGAAAAATTCATAGACCAATAACAAGTTCTGAAATTGAGGCAGTAATAAATAGCCTACCAACCAAAAAAAGCCCAGGACCAGAAAGATTCACAACCGAATTCTATTGGAGGTAGAAACAGGAGCTGCTACCATTCCGTCTGAAACTATTCCAAAGTATAGAAAAAGATATTCTCCTCCCTAACTCATTTCATGAGTCCAGCATCATCCTGATACCAAAATCTGGCAGAGGCACAACCAGACAAGAAAATTTCAGGCCAATATCCCTGATGAACATCCATGCAAAAATCCCCAATAAAATACTGGCAAACTGAATCCAGCAGCACATCAAAATTCTTATTCACTGTGATCAAGTTGCCTTCATCCCCGGGATGCAAAGCTCGTTCAATATACTAAAATCAGTAAACATAATCAATCGCATAAACAAAACCAATGACAAAAAACACTTGATTATTTCAATAGATGCAGAAAAGGCCTTCGATAAAGTTCAACACCCCTTCATGCTAAAAACTCTCAATAAACTAGGTATTGATGGAATATATCTCAAAATAATAAGAGCTATTTATGACAAACCCACAGCCAATATCATACTGAATGGGCAAAAGCTGGAATCATTCCCTTTGAAAACCGGCACAAGACAAGGATGCCCTCTCTCACCATTCCTATTCAACATAGTATTGGAAGTTCTGGCCAAGGAAATCAGGCAAGAGAAAGAAATAAAGGGTATTCAAATAGGAAGAGAGGAAGTCAAATCGTCTCTGGTGATGACATGATTATACATTTAGAAAACCCCATCGTCTCAGCCCCAAATCTCCTTAAGCTGATAAGCAACTTCAGCAAAGTCTTAGGATACAAAATCAATGTGCAAAAATCACAAGTATTCTTATACACCGATAACAGAGAGCGAAATCATGAGTGAACTTTGATTCACAATTGCTACAAAGAGAATAAAATACATTGGAGTCCAACTTACAAGGGATGTGGAGGACCTCTTCAAGGAGAGCTCCAAACCACTGCTCAAGTAAACAAGAGAGGACACAAACAAATGGAAAAACATTCCATGCTCATGGATAGGAAGAATCAATATCATGAAAATGGCCATACTGCCCAAAATAATTTATAGATTCAATGCTATCCCCATCAAGCTACCATGGACTTTCTTCACAGAATTAGAGAAAAGTACTTTAAATTTCATATGGAACCAAAAAAGAGCCCGTATAGCCAAGATAATCCTAAGCAAAAAGAACAAAGCTGGAGGCATCATGCTACCTGACTTCAAACTATACTACAAGGCTACAGTGACCCAAACAGCATGGTACTGGTACCAAAACATGTATATAGACCTCTGGAACAGAACAGAGGTCTCAGAAATAACACCACACATCTACAACCATCTGATCTTTGACAAACCTGATAAAAACAAGCAATGGCCAAAGGATTCCCTATTTAATAAATGGTGTTGGCAAAACTGGCTAACCATATGCAGAAAACTGAAACTGGACCACTTCCTTACTCTTTATATGAAAATTAACTCAAGATGGATTAAAGGCTTAAATGTAAGATGTAAAACCATAAAAACCCTAGAAGAAACCCTAGGCAATACCATTTAGGACGTGGCCAGGGGCAAAGACTTAACCTTTTTCAGCACTTTTTCTATGGTATTTATTTTCTCACAAGGCCTGTGTCCTTGGTAAGAAGTTCTTTTCTTGATGCTATCTTATAAATATCATTTTACAGATTATATGAACATCAATGGGACTCTAACCTTTCTTTTTGTTCCTTAAAAGCAAACAAAGAAAGCTAGTTAACGTATCTATCACCTCAAGTATTATAATTTATTTTTCCTGTCTAATTGAAACATTCTACTCTTTGAGAAGATCTCATTTGCCCCAGCCCTTAGCCTCCTTACTCAGTCATTCCGCATTGCATACATATATTATAGCATCACTTTGTACCCCATAAATATAGGCAATTATAATTTGTCAGTATTTAAGAAAAATAAAAAGAAAATTTATAATAGTACTATCATTTAAAAAGCAAATAAAACAAGTGGAATAAATTTCAAGACACTCAGACAACTCAGTATCCATCATGACCTATTTATTTGCCCATTTATTCTGTTTTTAATAGAATATCACACAATGTTCAGACCAACATTGTCAAAATGTTTTTATCCTTTTGTTTAAGAGATATACTATCTTCCTACATAGGTACATTATGATATGAACCAACAATATTAAAAGAAAGCAGAGTAGAAAGCTATTTTTTCTAAATAGGCACATCCTTCAAAGGAGAAGTGTTCTTACCCTTTCATAATACTACCTGATTTTAAAATAATTGAACATGGAGTCTCAATCATACATAGATCTTTTATGTTATGTGAAGTAATTACAATACTCAGGTGCCTTTTTGTTATATAGTACTTATAAAAGAGCAAATTTAAATATTATTTTCTTTTCTAAAAAGATTATTCCAAGAAATTGGAAATCATGTAATCATAATAATTTTCTAAATAAAATAGAATTTATCTTTCTCAAAACAAAAGGATCTTTCACAATCACATTTGTTTATTTATTTTTTAATTATTTTTTTTTATTTTTTATTTTATTTTATTATTATTATACTTTAAGTTTTAGGGTACATGTGCACAATGTGCAGGTTAGTTACATATGTATACATGTGCCATGCTGGTGTGCTGCACCCATTAACTTGTCATTTAGCATTAGGTATATCTTCTAATGCTATCCCTCCCCCCTCCCCTCTCCCCCCACCCCACAAGAAAAGAAATAACTATTGCCAGTATGGAGAATAAAAGGATTTTTGGATTTTACATGTGACTGGATGAAATATATTTTGGAACAGGGATGGGGCAAGCAATGAAAAATTAACAAAGTACAATTTTTGATAGAGAAGTGTGCTCTCTATCTTTGATCTATCTTCTTTGATTAAAAAGTAAGTGGAGTAAGAAAATCTCTGAAGAGATCACATTTTCTTTAAGTTTTTGTTAGTAAATGTTTGGGTTTGCATTTTCGGTGCATGAGTATCTGAGCGATGGAGTCTTTATTATGCAGACTGCAGATCATTAAATTATCACAGTTGAGGGAATTAAAAATGTGCACATCAAACTTAATAGTCTTAAGTTTCATAGCCATTTGCATTAAGCCTTACAAAGGAAAATGAAACTTGAGTGCTGAGCTGAACTATAAAAGGAGATATTTAAAATCAACCAATCACAATGTAATTGTTTATTTTTGCTAATGGCCATTATAAGAAAATCCACAAACACAGACATTTTGTGAAAATAAAGTAAGACAAAGTTTATTTTCATGGACAAAAACAGTAGGATTTTTCTCTGGAATGGTGAGCAGAAAAAATGATTTTTCAAAGATATTCAAATCCTGATCCCCAGAATCTGTGAATATGTTACCCCAGATAGCAAAAAGGACTTTGCATATTTGATTAAGTTAAGGACTTTGAGATGAGGACATCATGTTGCATTTCCCAAGTAATAACAATCTAAACTTGTGGGTCCTTGAAATTGAAGAAACTTCCCTGGATATGATAAGAAGGAGACGAGGCCATGAAAAAAATCATCTGAGATGCAAACATGCTGGCTTTGAAGATGGAGGAAAATGGCTAAGAGTCAATGAATGTGGGTGGCCTCTAGAAGGTTGAAAAGGCAAGGAGATTGATTCTCCCTACAACCTCAGGAAAGAATGCAGCTGTGCAGATGCCTTGATTGGACTCCTATGAGACCTGTGACAGACTTGTGACCTAGAAAACTGTAAGGTAAAAGTTTATGACATTATGAGCTAGTAAATGTGTTGTTTTTTTTACAGTTGTGATAGAAAACTAATACACTGGGCAAAGCTTTCAAAGGAAGGAACAATTGTTCAAACACAAGCAGAACTGAAAAAACACAGAACATTTTCCTGTAGGCGTTGCAGATCTCTGTCCATTCCTAGCTCCTGCTGTGTTCTCTGCTACTTTCTTCAGGAGGATTTGGGGTTGGTAATTCAATACTGGGGAGGGAGGGGAAATAAGAAATTCAATATCCATACTTGTTGGGGAGAGGAAAATGGCAGGTCCAGACTCCATGCAGATGACTTTGGGTAGAAGGGGCATCTAACTGGGGAGAATCAGATGGCACAAATATTTCAGGCATAGGGCTGTTCTTGGATGTGTCAGCAGGAGCAGGTATACGTCAGAAGAGACACACCCATGCAGTGACGTTTTGAACATTTGGCAATGTGTATTAGCACAGCTCTTCCCTTTAGCAAGATTTGTTTTGCGGTTCCAGATAGGTCATTTCCAGGCCTCATTCCGCCAAGGTAGTAAGCTAGATACGAGATATGTTTTCAGGGTGTAATTTGGCAATATGTTGTTTTTTTTTTTTCTGGCTATTTTATCACTGCTAATATCAGTAGAGTTTCCAACCCACATGTTGGCCCTGCTTCAGCCTTTACCCCACCAAACCATGAAATGAAAGTCAGTAGTTTATTTCAAAATCTGGGCCGTATTTGACAACATTGCCTTTTTTTTTTTTTTTTTTTTTTTTTTTTTTTTTGAGACAGTCTCACTCTTTTGCCCAGGCTGGAGTACAGTGGCATGATCTCAGCTCACTGCAGCCTCTGCCTCCCAGGGTCAAGCAATTCTCCTGCCTCAGCCTCCTTTAGTAGAGATGGGGTTTCACCATGCTGGGCAGACTGGTCTCGAACTCCTAACCTCAGTTGATCTACCCACTTCTGCCTTTCAAAGTGCTGGGATCACAGGCAGGAGCCACCATGGCCAGCCAACACTGCCCTTTGATTAGTAATATAAAAACTTGTAGGTTGATCTTAACAGCCATTTTATTTCATTTATCTTATACTGCAAATAGCAGAGAAATTTCTATAATAAAATATGTTTCTGGATTTCCTTGTAAATAATATTTTCTTATTTTTAGTTCCTAAGTGAGTTGAAGGTAAGAGAATTGCTTTTAAAGTGAATTTTAAAACCACTGTCTTTTCCAGAAACCCAAGCAAGCTTGTCAAATTGTGCCTGTGACAGAAGAAAGCAGCTACTTCTCTACTGACAGTCGTGATTTTCCAAATTGTTCAAACCTCCCACCATTTTCATGGGGAAAGTCTGAAATATCTGGACCAATGAATAATCAGAAATCATTAAGGAATAAGTAAGTGGGTCAGCATGATACCTTAGGTGAATGAAAATGTAGATAGAATAATAAAATTTGAAGAGGGATGACATGATAAAAATGCCACATCTTCTTTTATGATGTATCAAGATTCAGATATATTTTATATGTATACTTAAATACATAGTAAGTAATGGAACTTGGAATTTGGGGTATTTTTATGCTTCTACCATTTTATTTTTAGCCACACTGAGCATACAATGTAATATACTTTATAAAATATTCCCTAAATGTAAAAAAAAAACTCTAAAACACTGTAAGACACTACTGATTCCACAGATCAGATCATGTTACATGTGATTATAGATAAATATGATGCATCTCATATATTATTCCTTGTAAAACTTCTGACACAGATGTTATTATTGCCCTGGACAAAAACAATTTAATTAAATTTCAATATAAATTCTTGTAAAATGAACATAATACCATTTTTTTTAAGTCTAAAACAATAGAAGCATTTCTAAAAACAGAGAGACTATTTTCATCAGGTTTCACTGGTGATTAACACTGAACATGTTGCGGGAAGCATGTCTGTTTCAAATCCCACCCTCGTGTATAGAATTTGACACCAGATGGTTTCAAACTAACAAGGAATTAACAATTTGTGTGTTGTTAATTGTTCCATTATAAAAGTACTCTTGTGAAGTAAATAAGAAATACATTTCCATGGCATACAGCTGAAGATATAATTGTAAAGTAAAACAAAATGTGAACAAAAGTTTTGGTAATTGCTAAAATGTGTCAGAAAAGGCACAGTATCATTTTTTTAGAAAAACAATATTGCTTTTTTCCCTATTCTTTTTTCTTTTGATTATTTGAAATTAAATTCAGCACCACCATAATTTAAATATGTACAAAATATTAATGAATGGAATACACTCTGTGATGTGTAATTGTATGTGTCAACTTGCCTCTGAGTTAAGGAATAGCCAGATAGCTGGAAAAATTGTATTTTTGGTATGTCTTTGAATGAGTTTCCAGGAAAGATTATCATTTGAATCAACAGACTGAGTAAAAGTCTTGCTCCTCAATGTGGGTGGGCATCCCCCATTTTGTCATGTCCCTGAATAGAACAAAAAGGCAGAGGAAGGAAAAATTCACTCTCTCTCTTCTTGAGCTAGAACAATCATCTTCTTCTGTCCTGGAACATTGGTGCTCCTGGTTCTCAGACCTTCAGTATCAAACTCAATTATACCACAGGTTTTCCTAGTTCTCCAGCCTGCAGATGGCAAACTGTGGAACTTCTCGGCATCCATAATTGCATGAGCCAATTCCCATAATAAATTTCCATCTATCTGTCTACCTACCTACCTACCTACCAACCATCTAAGCATCTATTTTCTATCATCTATCTATCTATCTAATCTATCTATCTATCTATCTATCTATCTATCTATCTATCTATCTATCTATCTATCTGGCATCTATCTATCTAATCATATGTCTTATTGGTTCTGTTTCTCTGGAGCACATTGACTAATGCACACTATAAATCTATCCAGTTGTATGTTTCAAGTGTTACCAATTTTACTTTTTGACATGTAGCTATCCTGTGTTGTTCCTATTTGACATACTGTGAACAGTACACATTGTATTGACAAGTGCATGATGGGGACAAAAGTCTGAATTCAAGGATTTTTAAAATATGTTGAGTACTTTTATCATAATTGCTATATATAAGAAATCTCATGTATTTATGGGAATTAGAACTCATAATGAAAGGCTAGGAAAGAAATTCTCAAAGTTTTTGTTTCAGGACACCGCTGCACCCTTAAAATATTGAAGACCCCAAATAATTTTGTTTTATGGCTTATATCTTTTAATATTTACTACACTTGAAATTAAAACTGAGATTTAAAAGTTTATTGAATAATTTAAAAATAGCAAGATTAACCCATTACATGTTAACCTAAATAACGTATCTTTCTAAAAATACATTTCTAAACTAAAAAATAATTGGTGAGAAGAGTAGCATTTTTCTACATTATTGCAGATTTAAAATCTATCTGGCTTATTAGGAAATAGTTGAATTCTCAAAACTCTTTTGCATTCAACCTATTATAATATGTTGTTTTGGTTAAAGTATAAAAAATCAGGCTTACACAGAAATATAGTAGGAAAAGGAATAATTATTTTAATAATGTCAAAGATAAAATTAAATTTGAGACAAAATTAGTAAATGCTACTTATTCCTGATCATGCAGCCTTAAAGGAAACTATCTGTGGCCATGCTCTTTTCAGCAGGATTCAAAGGTATTTGAAGGAAGTTTTGGTTTTATAGAGGAAAAGGAGTAAGTCCTGAGATAGATAGACTCTGATTAGCAAGTTTTCTTAACACTCTTACGGGATTTTTGAAAGTGGTGGAGACTTTCTAATTGTTCTTCAGGTACATTTTTGTGTCCTTGTGTCGTAGGACTTTTTCCTTAGTTCAGCTAAGAGCCAGTTTCTTGTCACATGGCCATGAGATATTAGACTCGCAGACACTTTGAAGGTTGAAAAAAATGGAATTTTTGAGCAAAAATGGACAGAAAGGGAAACAGGACTCTCTGCAAAGCTAGGGTCCTGCAAGTGTGCGTCCTGCCTCACAGATTGAATTCCAGGTTCCACCCAGGAAGAGGAGGGGCCAAGCTCCTCCCCACTGCAAATGAACAAACTTCCCGAGGCTCCATCCCAGTGTGCACTCATCCCAGGGACAGGTGGGTTGGGGGTTCTCTGGTGACCCCTTTATACTCAGCTCTCTCACTTGGTTGGCTGCAATTGGGTAGATAAGCGATTTGGGGAGATTTCAAAAGAGGAAAAACTTGCTTAATCTTCAGTGACAAACTCTCTGTAGCTAGCCATTTTGGGGAACAAGAGGAGGCTGATGGAATTACTTTTCTCACTCAAACTCATGCTGTTTTTATGGCAGGCAATCTCTCAATAATATATTTAGGTAATATTGCATATTCTTCTTTTATACTATACCAAAACTCCACAAAGTGTAGTCTATTAAAAGTTAGTTGCAATGTGTTAACTGAAACCGTATCAGTAAACTTTTTATCATCTGGTACATTAAAATCCATTGGTGTATTTTGAATTTGACTGGATCTTTTCCCAGCCTATGATTTTATAACCCTGTATATTTTTCAATTGGAAAATATTGTTTTATTGATTTATGCAAATCTCTCAAATGTTGGCACATTTAATTATAAAATATTTTTAAATAGCATCCATTTATATAATTACTGACCTTGTCAGAAAAGACTCCAAGAGTTGGAAGGCTGTCAAGCTTAGTCATTGACATACATTTTCTAAAATTTCACTTTTCACAAAAAGCTCAATTTTTATGAATCCCAACAAATACTTTTAGTTATGTTCTTTGAAGTGTCATGCTTACTTTGTTGATTTTTCTAGAAAATGTCTGCTAAATGCCCAAGCCTGAATGACAAGAGTAAGATTGTAAGCCAATCTTTGAAATAAAACTTCTGTTGAATGGAAAAAAATCAACTGGCTCAGCTTGCCACTCAATCACAGATGTACTTTCCTTCAAGACAACCATCAACCACCATACTTTAGTAGACAGCAGAAGTTCTTCATGAGAATTTTACATTTTATCACACAGAATATCAAAAGTACATACACTCATACTCAAAGGCCATTGTTTATGAAAATTAATCATATTTTACTGCTTTGGCAATAAGTTGCTGCTGTTGTGGTTTCTCCCTCTGATTGTGTAGAGGGAAGTTATAAAAAGTTTAGTAGTACGGTCTGCTTTCGCTTGTCTTGATTGGTGTGAAAGCATCAATGGTTTTATCCACCACTCGTTTTGTACCATGAGTTTAAATTTCAACACAGTAAAAAAGGCAAATATATCAGTTTACTATCATTGTGGAAATAGTTTTGATCTCCAGGTCTCCCTGAAACTGCAAACATCTTGAGTACCTCATGGTATATGGCACAGCTCTGGAAAACTGCTGTGGTAGCGGAAATGAAATCTGAACTCTATCCTTGATTCCAAGGTTTATCTCCCAGGGTTGTGGGGGGGAAAAGGAAGAAGAGAAAGGAAGAAAAGAAAATTAATGTAAATAATATTAACTGCAAAGAAAACAAATGCAATTATTATTAGCAATAGTAGTAGTAGCAGTGGTAGCAATAGTAGTAGTATTAACTTAGTTATTATGGATGATTATATTGACCTGACACATACAACTTTAAATTAAAACTAATTAGTTGGGCAAATGTAACAGTCTTCCATTACACTTTTTATTTATTCCAATAAATTTGGAATTCCTCTATTACATTTGGGAGTTATACACCATATAAGTACTTTCTCCCTAAAGTAGACCCCCAGCAACTGCTGCAAAATGTTCTTCCATTGGCACTTTTATATCCTGGCCACAGGCATATTGCCTAGGTTTTGCCAATCAGATTCAGCCCAGTGAAAATTCGGTTCAAACTTGAGCACCTAAGGGAAGGTACATCCATGTAAATCAACTTTATTCATAAAGGTGACTGTAGAAGCTTGTGGATTACAAAGAAAAAATGGCTGCATCAATGGGTTCTCAGTGATGTGGCTGCTGTTAATATCATGGATTGCAGGGCAAGTCAAGAGCCTGGTAGCAGAGCACGTGGCGGATCTACGGTGGCCATGGCAGTTGTGGAGCTTTCTTTTTAAGCAGATCTGCTTGTTATTCTCAGCACTGCTCCTGAATGATTATATTTGCACCACCTGGCAGTCATCCCAAAGGTATCTTGAGCGCCCCAATATTTTTTAAACTACTTTTATGCTTAATCATCTAAAATCAAACCCCTTTACAAAAAGTATCCTGTCTTAAGCAGGTAATGCTTTATGTTGGGCCATTTTTTTTTAAACATTTGGTATACTCTGAGATACATTTCACATGACGTGTTTCATTAGTGATAATAAAAATGTATTGCATTAATCAGGGTTCTCCAGAGAAACAGAACCATTAGGATATGTGTGTGTGTATATGTGTATGTATAAAAGGTGATTTATTATGAGGAATTGGCTCATGTGATTACACAGACTGAGAAGTTTCACAATCTCCCATCTGCAGGCTGGAGACCCAGGAAAGCTGGTGGTGTAAATCAGTCCAATTTTGAAGGCCTGAGAACCAGAGGAGATGGTATAATACCAGTCTGATAACTGGAGAAAATGAGATGAAGTGTCCCACCTCAAGTGGGCAGGGGGGAAGCAAAAAGGGGATGAATTTTTCCTTCTTCCTTGTGTTCTATTCAGGCTCTCAACCAATTGGTTGATGCTCACCCATCCTGGTGGCATCCTCACAAGGGGAAGGGAAATCTGCATTACTGACTCCACTGATTCATTGCTAATCTCATCAGGAAACACCCTCACAGACATACCCAGAAATAATCCTGATCCAGATACCTGAACATCTCCTATTCCAGTCAAGTTGACACAATAAAATTAGTTATCACATTTACAATCAATATAAAGAAATGTTCAGATGTTCAGATCTTTTTTCTATGGCCAAGTTTCATCCATCCAGGTTACATAAAAGCAAAATTACT
Source organism: Homo sapiens (assembly GCF_000001405.40). Lineage (NCBI taxonomy): Eukaryota > Metazoa > Chordata > Mammalia > Primates > Hominidae > Homo > Homo sapiens. The sequence goes on from NC_000005.10 coordinate 24,838,703, forward strand.
TTCAAGGTATATATGTGCATTTTTACCTTGTTATTTAATACAGCATACTGCTTAATTTGAAACTTTGGTCTGTCAAGAAAATGTCCTGTGCATTAGTATAGGACTTAAATGTTCATTCGATAAAATGTATTTAACAATTTAGGCTTGACTAACCTTCATCAGAGATTTGCCTAAAGTAAAAGGCTGATAGAAACTCCATGAAAGCTCCAAGAACGCTTGTGGTTTATTTGTTTGCTCTTTCAGCAGTTGTCAATAGATGAAAATATAAAATTGAGAAATAATATTATATTTTGTGCCAGACATTGGCTTGCTGTGCACACAGGGTATTATTGGACAGAAACTGACAACTGTTTCATTAATGAAAGAATTGCCTCAGTACTCAGAAATTATGATTCAATGGGCATGAGCCCACAGTTTTGATGGAGTAGAAGCTTATTCTTTGAAATTTTCCTTCTGCATAGCATATTTATTAATTCATTTTTATTATCTAAAAATCATGTTAGAGCACTCTCTCTGTATCTAGGATCAGAATTCTTATTATCCTGAAAGCTGTGGGAATAGGGGATTTCTACCAATGCTAAACCTTTCCACTTTCCCTTCTACGTTTCATTTTTAGGAAAAAGTGGAGGACACTTTGAAGTATAATTTTAAACTACTTTCAAGTTTTGTTAAGAGAGTCTTTCTTCTAATAAGATGCTGTCTGGGGCTAATAAATAGTTAGGCATTATAAAGAGTGGGTGTAAACCTTACATACAATTCATTGATAGTTTTTTGCTCTGATAAGATTGTTACTATATCTATAAAATTATATCATAAGAGGCAGTTTTAAATAAAAAATGATTGAATAAATCCTGATAGCTGAAATTGTATAAGAATAGTAATTATTGTTATTATTAATAAGTTCCTTTGAGGAATTATTACTTAAATAATACAGCAAACATGTAATGATACATTCTGAATACATCAATAATGAAGTTTTTTAGACTACATGCTTTACAGAAACTTTGAACAAGATTTTCAACCTCAATTTGCTTCATATAGGAGAGAAAACTCTGTAACTCCTTAAAAGTACATCTAAAAAAGGGATTTTCTCCACTTTCCTCACACGTGCACGCATGTGTGTGTGTGTCTGTCACCTGTGTGAAAGATGACAGAAGCAGATAGAGCTAAAAGAATTTTCTAAAAATAAAATGCACTGCAGAAAAGCTCTGAGATCTCACAGAGAGTGCCAAAATATCAGTGCATCAGTAGCCAAGGGGATAAAAAGGGTATAAAAATTCCATTTCCTTAAACTCCACACTTTCCTGGAACAATGTAAAGAAGAGAGCCGTGCTGCCAAATAAGACCTTAACTTGAAATGCCAAAGTCTCTCGGAAGCAGTTTCTCAAAGATGGTATTTTAGGGCAAATGATCAGCAAGTCTTTGGTTTCTAGTGTTTTGTTTTCTTATTCATGTGGCTTCTAAAGCTGAAAATAATAAACTTGTAAGTTGGATTGAAACATTAAAGTATTAGATATTATAAATGTCAATATCAGACACATACTACCTTTGTTGCATTTTTTCCCTATATTGTTTTTAGATGTCTATCAGTTTGTATGTCTTCATTCAAATCTGCTCTTCTATGAAGCCGTCCTCAGCTTGTGGAAAAAATGCCCTCTTTATCACGAAAACTCCAGGAGAATTTACTTGTTGCAACTCTCATAGGGCTACTTTAAAAAAACTCTGAATAACTAGAGTAATGAAGAGAAGTCTAGGCCTCTCTTCATCTCGGGATGAATTAGAGGATTGATGATCAGGTTTTTATAAAATTCAATCTGAGCTAAAGAATGTGACCAAAATTATATTTTAAACCCTTCCCAACGTGTTGTCATTTGTGACATCACATTTAACTCAAACGTCATCTTCTGTGAGTTCTCTAATCTCACTACTTAAATCCAATCCCACTATTATGCCCTCCTTTTCAATGTCTCCAGGTCAGTTTCATTAGGAGTCAAAATATTATGTGCCTTTCATTGAAATATCTTCAATAAAGATAGCTTTTCATTGAAGAAAGATTTGATCTATGTCAGTGGCAACTTCCAACAGCTATGACACAGGTGTCAAGCAACTTGAATTTTATATGTCAGCATGATCATCAGATTGAAGGTTTGACTAAAGCGTGTGAGTGTGTGTGGGGTATGTGTGTACACTTATACTCCTCCCCAGATAAATTTTCATTTAATGGGTCTAGGACACACAAAAATCATGTGTCTAAAGTTTCAGTAATTTCCAAATAATTGCAAATGGCTATCATATGTCTAATAGTAACTATTCACTACCCCCACATCCCTCAGGTTCAACAGTTAGGCAATCCTTCCCTTTATTATCACATATTTTGAGCAAAATTTTTCCATAGTATTTGCACTGTCCTGCTGTGCTGTAATCTTTGGTTTATTGTCCACTTTCCCACTAGACAGAGATTTTTGTGGACAGAGCCTATATTATTTATTTCTATAGCTTTGAAACTACAATTTAATCTGACATATATATGTTAAACAAAGTTTAATAGACATATTTAGTTTGCTCTATATTTGTTTAGATATTAGTTTGCTAACTATGGTGTGAAGAGAGAGAGGAGAGTAACATTTAGAGATTTATTTTGGAATCAAATTTTAGTCTGTAAAGATCTTCTTAGTATTTGTCCTTTATTCATAGTATCATCAAATTTTTTTGTTGTTGTTGTTAAAAAGAGAGAAACCGTGATGTGCATTTACCCTGTACAACATTTAGCAGAGCGATCAGGAATCAGGCATAGGGGATTTCACACTGAAACTGTGTTATTTTCTTTTCTTACTCAGGAGGGAGCTCAAATATGGCGTGCTGCCTTTGTGGACATTTAATCACCAGTTATGTTTTCTTTACATCTTCAGAGTAAAACTTCTTTCCTTAAACATTTTAGCCCAATTATAAAACTTAACTGACACTTCTCAACATATATGAGTAGTATTACTAAACCATGAAAATCTCCTAAAATATGTCCATCATTGTCTTCTTTTTCTACCTCAAATTTCGCTGCCTCAGATTGCTTGCTGAACATCTCTCAGTTTATATATTTCACCAACTAATTGCACACATATAAAAAGAAAATAAGAACAATACTTTTCCACCCAGATCAGGTGTGTTTCTTCTCTCTTAGTAATGTCTCTGATGTCTCTTATTGTCAATCTTGACCCCCTCTCACGTCAAACACCCCCACCCCCACACGTCAATTATTCTGGCTTGAAGCCACCTCTGAGTGACCTTTACATCTCCCAATCCTTGGTCATCCCTCTCCTTTCCTAATAGTTGCCAAGCACCTCCTCTAGGGATGAAAATTGTTATAATCACTTCTTACTTCATTGCCCTTGACAGTGTTCTTGCTTACAACCTACACAACCTAGTTATTTCATTAAAATATTGAATTAATAGATGTTAATTCTGAAGAAATTAGGCAATTGACTTGAAAATTCAATGCAGCAAAAGGCTTTCTTTTTCTATTATATAGTTGTAATTACTTATCTTCTAGGATTTTCCTGTAAGACACTATTTTCAAGTTCTCTATGTTTAAAATAATAACAGTAACTATATTAATAATTCAAATATCATCATCATCGTTGACTGTAAAATGCCTTAATATCTGTGATTTTCTTTTCCTTTTTTATTTTGTTGGCAGAAATCACATTAATAAGAACCAACATGGAATCTCAACACGTAATACAGATGAAGCCAAAGAAACACAGATAGATTGAGGCAGAAAATGCAGAGACTATGAATCTTCTTGGATCCACATGAAGGTACCTACTGAGAGCTCACCTAAAACATTAGGTCCCTGCAGAGTGTGCATCAGATAATATTGTAAATAAATGACATTTTCCTGAAACACTTGTGAGCAAGCAGTAAAGTGCTAAGACAACATATAGAAACTATTTAGAAAACTAGGTCCAAAACAGTTGATTCTTGTTATTTGTGGTAGTTATGCTCTATAAATTACCCACAAACACTGAATTGGCAAATACCGAACCTTTGCTCCTGGGAGAAACACGGGGCTAGGTTCCTGAGAGCATCTGGTCACATTTTCATCAACCAGTCAATATGTAATGTTGTTTTATGTGTGTGCCTGTTTAAAGATGCCTTATTTAATCTACGTTGTTGACTTACTAACATTGAACTCACAACCAACAGCACTATAACTCATGACCAAATGAAGCTTATCTAACACACATATTTCCTTTGGAAGACACACTTAGACACACTAGATTATCTTGCACTTAGGTAATCTAGGCAGCACTTCAGTACTGTTTAGGGGCCATTTTAAACAGTGAAATTGCCAACAAAAATGAAAAAAAAAAAAAGATCATGGCACTAAGGAGACTAGGACGCTTGTTTACAGCCTGAGAGGTGAGATAAGAAGGCAGAGCATGGCCTTGTTTGATCTCAGCTAAAAACATGTGCATCGGACGACTCAAAATTTTCACTGATTTGCACATGTCCTCGGATGATGGAGAAGGCATCATGAGTATTGATTTGATTTGGGGTTCTAAATATATTTCACTGCGTAGGCAAATTTGCAAACAAGCAGTCTATGAATAATGAGAATAGACTGTAATCACTTTAATGTGTCAGGAATGAAAGACAGCATGTTTGATGCGGATGTATCTTCAATGTTGATTACACTTTAATGCAATATTATTGAGCTCCTTAAAAGAATGCAAAGAGAGACATTTGCAGCAGAAGTACAAATGACTTCTTGCATGCTCACCTAGAAACTTTTTTCTCTAAGTAATAGTTATTGTTTAAATATATAGAATTAAATATATTCTTTTGAAAATATGAGAAATGCAAAAAAAAGTGATAACCTGCAATCTCAGCAATTAGAAAATCAGTGATAAAAAGTTTATTCTACTTGCTCATTTCAGGATATTACAAAAGTCGTATACTTTTTTTCACTAAATTTTATGGGCTGAACAACTTTCTGAAACATAAGAACTTAAAGACAGAATTTTTGGTAACTAAATAATGGCTACCTAATAAGAATGAACTATAAGTTTAACCAATAAACTATCTTTAGATATTTAAATGCTTCCTCCATTTTGCTATTTCATAGAACCAAGATGAGCAATCTTGAACTCAGATGTTTATTGTAGTATGTCTTTGGGATACACAGGAGGATTTACACTCATATCAATCAAAGTCCCATCAGTAAAACAAAATTTATTCCAGGTGGTGCAACAGAGAGCATTTAAAAAGATAAACTACTTACAAATCTACTTTCAAGAACATGTTTGAAAGACAAATGGGGTAATGAGGCAACTCAGAAATTAACAAAACTTGAAGCTGATATGCTCACTCAGGTTTAAAGGACAAAATAGGAGATAGCCATATTATCAGCCAAGAATTAGAGCTGGCTTCTGGGCGGCAGGTGGGATCACAGCCTGGGCAGAATGATGATTTGAAACTACAGAGACTTCTGGCCAGAGATAGAAGTAGAAACACTCTCACTACTTTCTTCGTCTGTCTGAAATCTCCCATCAGTGTTTCTCCTTGGTTCAACCTATTCTGAGTCAAGTGGGGGTAATTACAGAGGAATAGATCTACAAGAAAACAGGTGAGTGACTTCACACCCCTCCAAAGGGTGTGGACTATCTGGAGGATTTTGGTACTGTTATGGAGTTGTTTAAAAGAGAGATAATATGAAATGAAATTCCTTAAGTAGGGCATAAGAAAGCTCATTTCTCCATACACTTACCGTACGTGTATTATAAATATTATTTTGCAATTTAGTTTTCAAATTGGTGGGCAGAACAATCTCATATCTATTTTCATATTTTTTGGTAATTACTAATATGGTTTAATGCTTTCTCTACTTTTTTCAGACTATTATATCTCCCAGAAAAGTCTTTTTAGGTCTCTTTATATAAGTCCTAAAAATTTCTTATTAAATCTGTTCTTAGATTGCTGTTGTGAGTAGGAAATTGCCTTTCATTTCTATTTTCTAGAGAGTATTATTTTTTAATTATGCATTTATTTTGAAATAAAAATCAGATCTTTATAAAAATTATAAAATATTTAAAATAACTTTTATAATTTCTGTGTTTAAATTCACATATTTTTCTGTATTTTGCCAATAGTTTGTCTGTTTATTAATCTTTTCTGAAAAAGATGGCAAGTTGTAGATATCATGCACTATGATCTTAAATACTTGTGCATACCTTTCTCTAAAAAAAGGACATTATCTTACATAACCACAAAGCAATGATCAAGTTTAGAAAACTTCACGTTGTTAGAAGTTGTTATCCACGTTAAAATTATGCTCACTTTTTGCAGTGCTTTCCTTTATGGCACACCCTGCTTTGCTTTTCTAGTCAGGCTCACGCATTTGTATCTTGTTGTCATGTTTTTCAGGACATTAATGTTTATGAAGTAAAGAGGCTCGCTGTTTTGTAGAAGGTTCCTCAATTTGAAATTATTTCATTGTTTTTCATGATTAGAATTTTGTTTTATTTTATTTTGTTTTAATTTTGAAAAACTCTCACACTTACCATAAATATCCAAATATTATATAAATAACATTTTTCTGGAATAGAGGATAAGTTGTCTACATGATGTCCCATCACCACTGAAGTACTTAAGGTATAACTTCTATAACAAAAACATTCTCCTATAGAACAACACTATAAACATCAAAATTAAGAAATTAACATGACTACATCTCTACCAATGTTATAGAGTGAACTACGTTCACCCCACATTTATCATTTAAAGCCCTAACCCTCAATGTGACTGTATTTAGAAATAGAGCCTTTAGGGAGATCATTAAGCTTCAGTGAATCAAAAGGGTGTGGAACTGATCAAATAGAATTGGTGTTTTTAACAGAGGAAGAGACACTAGGAGTGCCTGCTGATAGAGGAAAGGCCCTTTGAGGCACAGGGAGAAAGTGTCTGTCAACAAGCCAGGAAAAGGGATCTTACTGGAAACTAACATCATGGCAGCTTGGTCTTCTAGCTTCCAAAACTGTGAGAAAATAAATTTCTATGTTTCAGTCACCCAAGTATTCTGTTTTGGCAGTCCAGGCAGAGTAATGCAACCACTTAATCTACAGATCTATTTAAGCACTGGTACTTGTGATTTCAGAAGATGGATTCAAATCAGAATCACCTATTACATATTTTTAAGTTTCTATCTGGAATATTTCCTCAATCTTTCCTCGACTTTCAGGATCTTGACTCTTTTGAGGGTTAGTGACCAGACGTTTTGTAGACTTTCCTTTATTTGGGCTTGTCTAATTTCCATACAATAAAATTCAAGAAAAATGAAGGTATGATTTCAGTGTATTCTATGAAGTAATACATTCAAATATGTCCTCTTTTTGGTGATGTGCACTTCACTTGATTAGAGATGTATTTGTAAGGCTTCTCCACTATGTAATCATCAAGCTTTTACTTTATTTATTTATGTAAGTGGTCTTATCAATTTACTCAATTGATTGTAATTGATAACTATCATTAGTTATTTTGCTGCTTATATTGTCCCAGATTTGGCAGACAGTGGGAACACCTTTGAGCCGGGTTTTGTGTCTTTTGATATGTCCCCATCATTCTTTGAGCACTTAATTACCTTATGGCTCAAGATGATGTTCTGTTCTCATCTTATAATTTCTGTATCCATTAGGGCTCTTCAGGCATAGCTGAATGACCAGGATACATTCTGAGAAATACATTGTTAGGCAAATTTGTTATTGTGCAAACATCACAGAATGTGCTTACACAAACCAGATGGTATAGCCTACCACTCACCAGGATATATGGTATAGTCTATTGCTCTTAGGCTACAAACTGGTACAGCGTGTTACCATACTGAATACTGTAGGCAACTGGAACACAGTGATATTTGTATATCTAAACACAGAAAAGATGCAATAAAAATATGGTATTATAATCTTATGGGACCACCATCATATATGCAATTCATTATTGACCAAAACATATTTTTCATATGATGATAAATAGAAAACAGAAGAAAAACTATACACAGTTACCCCTCTGTATATGAAGGGGATTAATTACAGATATCCCACTCAGATGTATACTGAAATCCATGCATACTCAAGTCCTGCAGTCGGCCCATTGGATCCCACATATGTGAAAATTTCTTTCTCCATATAGATGGGTTTTGCATCCTAAGAATACAGTCTACATCCAATTGGAAAAAAAAAATCTGCTTATACGTGGAGGCTTACAGTTCAAGCCTGTCTTTTTCAAAGGTCACCTGTATATATAATTCACTTGACCCTTGAATAATGTGGGGGTTAGGGGTGCACAGATAAAAATTTGCACATAACTTTTGATTCTCCCAAAACTTAACTACTGACAGCCCACTGTTGACCAGAAGTCTTAATTATAACATAATTAGTTGAGTAACATATAGTTTGTATGTTATATTTATTATATACTCTATTATTACAATAAATTAAGAAAATTATAAGGAAGTGAATATATATATTTACTATTTTTCTTTGAGACAGAGTCTCGCTCTGTCTCCCAGGCTGGAGTGCAGTGGCGCAATCTTGGCTCACTGAAAGCTCTGCCTCCTGGGTTCACACCATTCTCCTGCCTCAGCCTCCCCAGTAGCTGGGACTATAGGTGCCCGCCACCACGCTCGGCTAATTTTTTGTATTTTTAGTAGAGAACGGGTTTCACTGTGTTAGCCAGGATGGTCTAGATCTCCTGACCTCGTGATCCACCCACCTCGGCCTCCAAAAGTGCTGGGATTACAGGCATGAACCACCATGCCTGGCTATATTTACTATTTTTAAGTGGAAGTGGATCATCATAAAATTCTTCATCCTGATCATTAAGTTCAGTAGCCTTATGTAGAAGAGGGTGAGGAGGGCTGCGCCTTACTGTCTCAGGAGTGGTAGTGGTGGAAGAGGTGGAAACGGAGGAGAGGCAGGAGAAGCAGGAACATTTTTTGAAAATACTTCATAATTTCTGTCTGAGATTTTGGCTTTTTTATTTCTCTAAAAATGTTTCTATACAGTTCTATACAGTACCAATTATTCTTCCACCATTTCCTTTAGTTTCAGTGACTGTATCATAAAAGGATCCATGACATAAAAGAAGTCAAAAGCAGTCTTGAATAGTCAGAAACCTTACGTTAGATTGTCTAATATGAATTTGTTTTCTGGCATTGTTTCTCCTATGTCCTCTTTCTCATCCTCTGGCACTGGCTTAGAAGCACTCACCTCTGTCAAATTGCCTTCTGTCAATTCTTTTGTTGTGGTGTCTATTAACTCTTTAGTTTCTCTAAGATTCATATCTTGAAACCCTTCATTACCAACTTTTTTGCCTTACCCACAGTCTATTTCATGATTTTGTTGATTGTCTCTGTCGTAAGTCCTGTGAATTCATGCACAGTACCTGGACCTAGTTTTCTTCAGCAGGAATTTATTGTTTTAGCCCTGATGGATTTCACGGCGTTTTCTATAAAACCCAATGATATCTTCAATTATGTGATCTTTCCAGAATTTTATGATGTTCTGTCTCACAGGGTTCTCTTCCATAGTATTGACAATATTTTCCATAGAATTCTGTGTTTAATGAGACCTCCTGATCAAGAGGCTAAATTGGAGACATTGTGTTTGGGGGAAAGTAGACCACTTTGATTCTTTGGTGTTGAACTCATGGAGTTCTGGGTAACCAGAAGCATAGTCAAATACCAAAGTAACTTTAAAAGGTCATCCCTTACTGGCAAGGTACTTCAGTTCAGAAAAAGGATTCTGATTGTGCAGGCCTTCTTGTTATATGACCAAAAATCTGGCAGCTGGTGTTGATCTTTTCCCTTCAAGACTTGGGGATCAGCACATTTGTAGATGAGAGCAGTCCTAATCATGAACCTGTCTGCATTTGCAAAACACAGTGCAGTTAGCCTATCCCTTCCTGCCTTAAATTCTAGTGTTTGCATCTCTTTACTAATATACGTCCTTGGTGGAATTTTTTTTTCATAATAGGGCACTTTTGTTTGCACTTAAAATTGGTTCAGGTAGAAATCCTGACAGTTTTCCAGCCAAACCTCGAGATCTATCTTGACATACCAAAACTCTTTCTAAAATTATCAAACCATCCTTTGCTGGTATTAAATTCTCTAGCTTTAGATCCTTTACTTTCCTGTTGCTTTAAGTTGTCATTTATTGACTGCTTTTCCTTGAATTATATGAGAGTCTATAGGTTTGCCTTTCTTACAGCAATCTTTTACTTACATAAAAGCTGAATTTTCAATAAGAGATAAAAAGGTATTTCACAAAAAGTGCAAGATTTTTGTGCCTGCTGGCATAGCTGCACCATCTCTTCATACATTTTTTTTCTTTTTGTAAATAATGGTCCTTATGCTGGATTCATTTATCATGAAATGGTGGGCAACTACAGCTGCAAACCTCTATCTATGATACACATCATGCAATTTGACTTTTTCTTGTAACATCATGACTTTTCTCTGCTTCTTGAGAGCACTTCCAGCATCAATAATGGCACTTTGTATGAGTCCCATGGTGTTAGTCAAGGTTTATTGAATTGCATGAAACATGATGAAAAGTATGGAAGAACCATGAGAAATCACTTTTTTTTTTCTGTGAAGCACAGTTTACTGGAGAGAGGAACTGCTCATGCAGAGATAATTAACATCTTCTGGAATTTTAAGCAGATATTTGCAAGACTATAGAGGGTTGGGGGGGTTCGGATTGTCAGATCTACATTGAGCTCAACTTAATAGCAATAGGAGGTGGCTGCAAAATTATTAAAACAGTACAATATGTACTACAATTAATTTTAGGCAGTTACAATTTAATACTGCATATTTACTTTGGTTTACATTCCTCTTGACCTCAAAAGGCACCATGTATGTTCTGTTTGTGTATGTAACTTTTGATACACTTCAAGTTTTTATAATGAGTTTTTAAAATAATCACTTTATAATTAATTTTTATAATACACTTAAAGTTTTTATAATCAATTTATATATATTTTGTAGTAGTAAATAATAAAATAGACTATTATCTGCATATATTTCATGGATTCATGACATACTTAACATTTAAATTTTTTATATATTTCTAGGGTATGCCACTTACAAGTTTTAAAAAATTGTTGCAAATCCCAAACATATATATAGAACCATGCGGTTAAACCTGTGTTGTTCAAGGGTCAACTGTATATATTAGCTTGTGCTATTCTGGGGGGTTGGCAAGTCTGAAATTGATAGGGCAAACCAGCAGGCTGGAAACTCAGGTAGGATTTTCATGCTATAATCTTGAGGCAGAACTTCTCCTTCTTTGGGAAATCTCAGTTTTTGCTCTTAAGACTCTTAAGGCTCTTAAACTTATTTTAAAAGTTAGCCACATCTACAAAATGCCTTCACAGCAACATTCAACTTAGTGTTTTTTCTAACTGGTCCTCATTACCTAGCCAAGTTGACATAAAATTATCATATTTTCTTTGTTTCTTCTGCAACGGTGAGAAACCTGGCTGTATTTTCTTTGATATAATCACTTCTTTGATCACTTCCTTCTTGTATATTTTAATCTTCCATTGCTGCCACTCCCCCTCTGCATGCAAATGCCTTTATCACTGTACCTGGCTTCTGACACCCCATACAGGATTTCCCTCCATCACGGAAAGACTCCTCACACTACTCAAGCACTGACACCTTCTTCCAGACTGCCCTACAATGGTAACACCTTCCTAACCCTGTTAAGTTTCCATTATCATGCACAAGACTACTTCTCCATGTTTCCCAGATTCACCAGTGTGGAGTACCATTGGAGAGACTGAATATATACATGGACAGGGACTAGGCTATATGATAATAGAACTTTCACCTATAATCTCTGTGTCAACCAACCCAGGAAGTCAAGCCACAGTCTCTGCAGCAACCGGTTCAGAATGGTTAGTACTTGGTCAGTGACCACCAGTTTTCTCATGTTTTTCCCCTTGTTTCTACCTCATGATCAACGAGGGCAAACCAAATCTTCTCCACAAACCAATCCCATAAGGCATCTGGCTTCTAGTTAGCCCACCTCCAACTTCCCCATGCCAACAGCTTCCAATCAGAACATACCTGGAGGTTTTTAACTGTTCACTCTAAAGCTTTCCCACTCCCTTCCTCTGAGTCTGTATCAAATGCAGGTGATGATAGCCAACTTCCTTTCTCTAACAAGCTTCAAATAAATAGCATCTGTTTCTTCTGATTTGCATTTCCTTTGTTCATTTCCCCAGCTTCCCTGAAAGTTGCACTGTGACAGAACTCCAGCCTTCCCACAGGGTGAGTAGCCATGGAGACCCATCATGCATCATGGTTTGTTGAATCTGCACTGACATAGTACGACAGCACCAGGTTTGAAGTCAATGCTTTTCATTGTGGTTCTTGGCTCAATTTGGTGCTCTGGTTTTGTTATTCGTCCTTTCATTTTTTTTTTTTTTTGGCATGACTTTTCATCCTTTTGTTACCCTTTCTTGTCCTTCTGTTTGTGTGGCGCTGTCTGAAAATGATGTGGGTTAGAATAAGAGAATCACAGCATAGAACACAGGCATGGGCCCTAAAGGCCTGTTGTTCAAGCTTCACGCTGGGCTTACCACCCAGAGTTTGTTTTTCTCCCCAGACTGGGGTCAATTTGAACACAACACCACCATAGGGCGCTGTGCAAATTCCTTTTGCTGCTGTAACAAGTCATAACAAATTTGGTGGCTTAAATTCTTTTACAGTTCTGGTGGCCAGAAATCAAAAATGAGTTTCACTGTGCGAAAATTAAGATTTCAGCAGGACTGTGTTTTTCTGGGAGCTGTAGAGGAAGGTACATTTCTTTGTCTTTTCCAGCTTCTAAAAGCTAGCTGCATTCCCTGGCTTGTGGCCCATTCCACCATTTTTAAAGGTAGCAATGTACCACTTCATATCTCACTCTAATTCTGATGCTTCTGACTCTCTTTCCCTTTTTAGGGACTCCTCTGATTGCATTTAGGCATCCTGGATAATATCAAACAATCTCCTCATCTCAAGATCATTAACATAATCACATCTGTAAAGTCCCTATTGCCATGTAAGGTAATATAGTCACAGGTTCCAGACACTAGGATGTGGACGTCTTTGGTGAGCCATTATTCTGACTGGCATAGTCAGTAATAAAACCAAATGAATTTCTCCTTCTTATTTGATCTTTTTTCTTTCTTTTTGTCCTGAGAACTTGATTTTGATGCTGAGTTCCTTCTGGTTTTCTTCTTGTTGAGGAGATAGAGGGTTGGGGAGGGGGTTTGGATTGTCGGATCTGCATTGAGAGGTGGCCATTTGTCAGGCTGGAGGCCCAAGATGAAAAGTGTACAAGCATCACTTTGATTGACTGTTGTTAACTCTCATGGAATCATATAATTCTACATCTAAATCTAATTCTAAATCACCTCCTGCAGGGAAAAACTCCTTGAGCACACTCTTTTTGCAATACTAATTCTTACACTCATCTCTCTAAATGGCACAACTTCACCAAGGATGATTTTGGGCTTCAATAACCAACTCTAGGATCATTGGACTGAAATCAAATTATTCATTTAAAATTATCATAGAAAAGAAAGGAAGAAAAATTTCTAGGACTCAATGGTGAGCATTAATTTTATTGGTATGCTATGGCCACCAAACACAATTCTGATTAAAATTTTGCCACCAAAAAATATTCACTGGCCAAAAATTAATGGGAAAATTGACAGAATTCCACAACTAAAAATAGACTTATGTTTCTAGTAAATCCTTCCCTTTGTTGTCCTCCAGTTAACACCCCTATATTCAGCTCTCCTGTACATATTTTGCTTCTGAGCTCTCCCCACGCTACCTCTCGACTCGTCCCTCCTCTTCTCCTTGTTCAAATATGCCTACTTGTCCCCAACAACTCTCCTAAGACTTCCAAAATTTCAGTTGTCCCCAAAGATCCATCTATCCCAAGATAAGATGTGCAAGTAACTGTTAAAGTTAAATTTTGGATTCAAGTTGAGTTCTGACATAATATAAGGATAACCTCTTACTTTGTTTAGAGACAAGGCAAATGGTGCAGAATGATTTCATTTTCTTTCTCTGAGCCTTAGGAGAAACTTTCAAAGCATTAATCACAATTTTGCTAAAATGCAGTTTATTATTTAGAACACAACTTTTCTGAGGAGGGAAAATAACTCTCCTGTGAAAACTAGGTACTATCTAAACTTATCAGAGACTCCTCACAAAATTGAATATTTCCGAAAATTGATGCCATTTTTTTTTCTTGGTCTTTGATACTTTTTTGTCAGTTGGCAAAATATTGCAGGTGGCTTATATTCTGTTCCCAGTCATATCACCAACAAGTTGCCTTCCCATAACATCTTCCTAAATGACATGATTTGGATCTGTGTCCCCACCCAAATCTCATGTTCAATTGCAATCCCCAGTGTTGGTGGTGGGGCCTGGTAGGAGATGATTAGATCATGGGGACGGGTCTTTCGTGAATGATTTAACACCATCCCTTTGGTGCTGTTCTCGTGATAGGATTGTC